>NC_000006.12:62610382-62913412 GCF_000001405.40 Homo sapiens
CTACATCTTGAATGCTTTCCTGCTTAGAAATTTCTTCTGCCAGATACCCTAAATAATCTCTCTCAAGTTCAAAGTCCCACAGATTCCTAGAGCAGGGGCAGAATGCCACCAGTGTCTTTGGTAAAGTATAGCAAGTGTGACCCATGTTCCAGTTCCCAATAAGTTCCTCATCTCCATCTGAGACCACCTCAGTCTGGACTTCATTTTCCATATAACTATCAGCATTTTGATCACAACATTCAACAAGTCACTAGGAAGTTCCAAACTTTCCACATCTTCCCATCTTCTTCTGAGCCCTCCAAACTGTTTCAACCTCTGCCCAATTCCAAAGTCCCTTCCACATTTTCAGGCATCTTTATAGCAATTCCCTGCTCTCCTGGTTCCAATTTTCTCTTTTAGTTCATTCTCATACTGCTATAAAGAACTACCTGAGATTAGATAATTTATGAAAAGAGGTTTAATTGACTCACAGTTTCACAGACTTAACAGAATCACGACAGGGAGGCCTCAGGAAACTTACAATCATGGTGGAAGGCAAAGGGGAAGCAAGCACGTCTTACCATGTGCAGCAGGAGAGAGAGAGTGAAGGGGGAAGTGTCACACACTTTCAAACAACCAGATCTCATGAGAATTCACTCACTATCACAAGAACAGCAAAGGGGAAGTCTGTCTGCATGATTTAATCACCTCCCACCAGACCCCTCCCCTAATACATGGGGATTACAATTTGTGATGAAGTTTGGGTGAACACACAGACCAAAACCATACCAGTCCAACAGAATCCATTTTACTGTAGAGCTGAGATTGGCAATCTGCAGATGTTAAATGTAATTAGCAGGCGAGAGCCAAAAATTTTGAGTACTTCATGCATTTGGGTATTCTTGACAAAACTGGATGGATTTATCGTGCAACGTTCCTTGAGGATAGGTCATATTTGGAGGTTTAGGGATTAAACATTTCCCAGTTCTTGAGGATGCTTTTATTTGAAGAACATGTTCTCTGGTATGGGAACATGATTAACTATGTGCAAAGAGAGAACAGAGAAGGGAAAAAGTGTCCCTCCTGGTTTACTTACTTTTTCCTCTGCTTATGGCAGACTGGAGTGAGCAGTGCCTTTCTGGTGTATTATAGGAGTTCCTGCACTTATGGCAGACTGGAGTGAAAAGGATCACTCATCCTAAGGGTCCCAGAATGAATCAGTGCTTGCCAGGTCCTAACCTTGGTCCCATCTTGTTTTATGGAAGTGTGGTTACTCCTCCGCAAAGAGATAAAAGAGGAGAGAAGGAAAGAAGATGGCATCCCTGCCTTATTCCCTTAAACCTGTGCCTATGGCAAACCAGAGAGAGCAAGGTGCCCCCATCCATTAATTCTTGGAGTTCTGAAATGAACTGCTGTTTACCAGGTACCCCATCCCTGGTTCCGTCCCATTTGGGGGACCAGCCTTTATCTCTGTTCTGGTGATAATCAGTTTTGTGCTTTTAGCCTGGGACCAGTCTTTATCTCTGTTCTATGAGTAATTTGGTCTCCTGTGCTTGCGGCCTTGGGCCAGCCTGTATCCCTGTCTCCAGGACCTTGTAGTGACCTGCATCCAGAGCATCCTAGCAATGACATGGCTTCCCATTCTCTTGCATTTCCATTTCCCAGGTCCTTTAGGTAAATGAGGGCCCTGTTCCTAGCCAGTAGCCATAAAGAGGCCAGATTTCTTTTTCCCTGTATGTACATTTGGCGATCTTTGGGCATGTTGAGAAGGAAGTTAGAAGAAGATAGGAAAATTTCATCTTCCATAGGCAATATGCAAAAGATAGTTTAAACAGGCATGGCAATCCGTCTGTAATGGCTGGGAAGGGAAGGAAGCATGACAGATGCTTGTGGGAAGCCTTTGTTTTTTTCACAGAAAAAAACAGCCTCTAGTGCCTAGGGGACAGTGCTTGTCTGCCTTCTTGAAATAAAGGAGAAGCCTCTGGAGAAACAGGGAATTTGGAATAAGGGCTCTTACTAGGCAGAGGAAAGATTGTCCCATTTCCCAAAAAGGAGCTATCCCCAGTATTGAGATAAGAGGTGCTTTTAGTGGACTATAAATGGAGGCCCTGTAAAGGTGGAGAAACCTCCTCAAGAGCCACTAGAAAATTAATCTCAGGGTGTGGTAGAGATAAAAGATGAAGAGTAAGTAACAAAGAGTGAGTGGAGTCAGGGCTGTGGCCAGTGTTTTTCCTGACAGCCGGCCAAGAGACAGGGAACGGGCTGGAGATCATCTATCATCCAGATTGGAGGGCTGAAATAGAGTGTAAATCTCTGGGGACACCCATAAATGTGCCTGTCTGTTGGCTGCCAAGCAGACACAACAAGAGCCTGAGTGTTCAAACAGCAAATGGGGAGTGTATGTTTCAAGCAGGAAAGGAATTCGTGTGGCACACAAAGTGAGAGCAGAGAAGAGGTTGATTTACCTCTGAGGTGAATGGTCCAGTGAGTATGCAAAGCCATTCCAAAATATACAGAAGAGAACTCAGGAGAATAGATAGTACAGGTGTGGGTTTTGAAAAAAAGCTAATTTTAGTTGAAGAAGAAGAAGAATTCTCCAGATATTACAGAATCTAGGCTTAGCTCTACCATACTCGCAAGCCTCCTGTCTAGGAGGAGCACAGTAACTCAGATCTACTCTTTGGGGTGTGTACCACACGGTCTTCCCACCACTGCAGGTCACCTGTCAGCATGAACTGAGAAATTAAGCAAAAGAAGCAGAGTCACTGTAGTAAAGGGGAATCATTCAGGAGAGTGATTAGTAGGGAGGTGATATGGTTTGGCTGTATCTCTACCCAAATCTCATCTTGAATTTCCATGTGTCACAGGAGGAACCTGCTTGGGGGTAATTGAATCATGGGGGTGGGTCTTTCCTGTGCTGTTCTCGTGATAGTGAATAAGTCTCATGAGGATCTAGTGGTTTTACAAACAGGAGTCTCTCTGCCATCATGTGAGACATGTCTTTGACCTTCTGCTATGATTATGTGGCCTCCCCAGCCACAAGAAACTGTGAGTCCAATAACCTCTTTCTTTTTTAAATTGCCCAGTCCCAAGTATGTCTTCATCAGCAGCATGAAAATGGACTAATCCAGTAAATTGGTGCTAGTAGAGTGGACTGCTGCCGAAAAGATACCCAAAAATATGGAAGCGACTTTGGAACTGGGTAACGGGCAGAGGTTGAAACAGTTTGGAAGGCTCAGAAGAACGCAGGAAAATGTGGGAAACTTTGGAACTCTCTAGAGACTTCTTGAATGGCTTTGCCCAAAATGTTGAAAACAATATGGACAATAAACTCCAGGCTGAGGTGATCTCAGATGGAGACAAGGAACTTACTGGGAACTGAAGCAAAGGTGACTCTTGTTATGTTTTAGCAAAAAGACTGGCAGCATTTTGTCTCTGCCCTAGAGATTTGTGGAACTTTGAACTTGAGAGAGATGATTTAGAGTATCTGGCGGAAGAAATTTCTAAGCAGCAAAGCATTCAAGAGGTGATTTGGGTGCTGCTAAAGGTATTCAGTTTTATAAGGGGAGCAGAGCATAGAAGTTCAAAAAATTTGCAGTCTGACAGTGCAATAGAAAAGAAAATTCCATTTTCTGATGAGAAATCCAAGCTGGCTGCAGAAATTTGCATAAGTAACGAGGACCTGAATGTTAATCTCCAAGACAATGGAGAAAACGCCTCCAGGGTATGTCAGAGGTTTTCACCCCAGCCCCTCCCATCACAGGCCTGGAGGCAGAGGAGAAAAAAGTGGTTTCAGGGATGGGCCCAGAGTCCCTGTGCTGTGTGCAGCCTAGGGACACGGTGCCCTGCATCCCAGTTGCTCCATTCATTGCTGAATGGAGCAAACATAGAGCTAGGGCCATGGCTTCAGAGAGTTTAAGCTCCAAACCTAGGCTGCTTCCATGTGGTGTTGAGCCTGCCAGTGCACAGAAGTCAAGAATTGGGGTTTGGGAACCTCTGCCTAGATTTCAGAGGATGTATGGATATGCCTGGCTGTACAGGGAGAAGTTTACATCGGGGCAGGGCTCTCATGGAGAACCTCTGCTAGGGCAGTGCAGAAGGGAATTGTGTGGTTGGGGCCCCCACAAAGAGTCCCTGCTGGGGCACCACCTAGTGGAGCTGTGAGAAGAGGGCCACCATCCTCCAGACTCCAGAATGGTAGATCCACTGAGAGCTTGCACTGTGAACCTGGAAAAGCAACAGACACTCAACACTAGCCCATGAAAGCTGCCAGGAGGGAGGCTATACTCTGCAAAGCCACAGGGTGGAGCTGCCCAAGACTTTGGGAACCCACCTCTTGTGTTAGCATAAACTGGATGTGAGACATGGAGTCAAAGAACATCATTTTGGAGCTTTAAGATTTGACTGCCCTGCTGGATTTTGGACTTTCATGGGACTAGTAACCCCTTTTTTGGCCAATTTTTCCCATTTGGAATGGCTATATTTACCCAAAGCCTGTACCTCCATTGTATCCAGGAAGTAACTAACTTGCTTTTGATTTTACAGGCTCATAGGCAGAAGGGACTTGCCTTCTTTCAGATGAGACTTTGGACTGTTGACTTTTGAGTTAATATTGAAATGAGTTAAGACTTTGGGGGACTGTTGGGAAGGCATGATTGGTTTTGAAACGTGAGGACATGAAATTGGGGAGGGTCAGGGATGGAATGATATGGTTTGGCTGTGTCCCCACCCAAATCTCATCTTGAATTTCCAAATGTCACTGGAAGAACCTGCTGGGAGGTAACTGAATCATCAGGTGGGTCTTTCCCATGCTGTTCTCATGATAGTGAATAAGTCTCATGAGATGTGATGGTTTTAAAAAACAGGAGTCTCTCTGCACAAACTCTCTTCTCTCATCTGCCACCATCTGAGATGTGCCTTTCACCTTCCACCATGATTGTGAGCCCTCCCCAGCCACGTGGAACTGTGACACCAATAAACTTCTTTCTTTTGTAAGTTGCCCAATCTCAGGTATCTCTTTATCAGCAGTGTGAAAATGAACCAAAACAGTAGGAGAGTGAAAAGGAGAAGAAATCATGTATGGGGGTTGAATGCTTACAGCCGAAGACAGCAAGGTATAGCAGTGACTTACCACTAGATAGTGGATCCAAGTTAGGTGGCACCAAAGAAAGTTACTCATGGCAAGTCCACAGTGATCTTGGCCCTTGTCTCTCAGAGGAAATATTTCAACTGAGATACCAGGCAAGTTTTAAAGTGGAGGCAAACTTTTAGTGAAAGAAGCAAAGTACACTTGGAAGATAGCTAAGAGGGCGACTTGAGAAATCAAGTGCCCTGTTCAGCCCTTGGCTTGGGACTTTTTTACATTGGCTTGGTTCCAGGGTTTTCTTTTCCCTCCCTTTGGGCAGGCTGTTGCTCAATTGATGCATGCACAGTGGCCTGCCAGCACTCTGGAAGGGCCATAGGCACAGTGTATTTACTCAGGTTGTGCATATGCTCACTTTGGGGGTGATTTTTCCCTTACTGATCAAGCACTCCCAGACAAAGGTCACATACCAGTCAAACTCCACTATTTCGCCCCCTACTGCACGTGGTTGAGACCTTATCAGAGAATTGTGTTTTGCTGGCTCCTGATATTTTCTATCTGTTGGAGAACTTCTGTCCCTCGTGCCATCAGTCATAGCCCCTTATCATTTCAGAGAGACAGTTTTATGATCACCTGACCATCACCTAATGAGTGGCTGCCATTGCTTAGGGCCCTCTCCTACTTTGCTCATATCTGTCTGACTACCTACTTTAACACTATCAAAGAGTATACCAGTGTTATTGATGATAAAAATTTAAAATTCCTATTATAGCTCTGTCATTTGTTTCTTTTGTGTTTCTGTAAACAGAAGTAAAATATAAATACTGCAAGGGTAGTCATTGTGCAAGATGATAGAGCTGAAAAGAAATACTTTCAACTTTGCCTAACATAGCACTCAGTAGGTAAATGCTACTGGGAGTCATTTTTTTTCCCTTAAGAATTGGGCTGCCAAATTCATTATTGAGTCAGAAATATCACTGGATTAAAATGAAAAAACAAAAAGTCAAAGAAGTAAGCCATTCATGTAGAATAGAATATGCATTTTGCCTGTCTCTAAGCACATACATATGAATTAGAAGAAATTTGCCTGTAGCAAACCTTGCCACTCTGCCCATGAACATTAAGTTTTCTTAAAATAACATCATTAGCCCTATACCTTTGTCTATCCAATCTATTCTAAAAACATGCTTTCAATTCCAGGAGCAGCCTTCATCTTGCCAAAGTCAACAGTCACTACTTTGCCTTCATATCATTCAATCTCTCATCAACACAGATGGCCACTGCTTTTTCCCAAAACACCTTCCAGTCTTAGATTTCACAACACAACATGTCTCTGACTGTTCTTAAATACCACAGGCACTTCTGCGACAATTCCCTTTCTGAAATCCTTCTGCTATGACTGACCTTTAAATGTTAGGTTAAGCCATAGTTTCAGTTTTAGTTTCTTTAATATCTATATCATTTCTCTGTGATCATAGCTTTAAATATTATTTATATTTAGCTGACTCATAATTATTTACCTCCATATTTATGTTTACCTTGAGGCTAAGATTTAAATATTCAGTTGTCTATTGAAAACAAAAATAAAATTCTGAGCCCCCGCAAATGATTGATGAACAGCAAGGGTACTCCAAAGTCCGCAAATGATTGATGAACAGCAAGGGTACTCCAAAGTAAACCTGAAAAGCTAGTTCAGGCCGTGATGGGAAGGGAGGGGTGGGGCACACTCATTATATCCTCCCCCTTTAGAATTCAGGCACAATTGAACAACATTAATGTTAAAACAGAGATCTCAAGACTGACAAATCAGATACTTGTAGCAATGAGATACCAAATTCCAATCTGACTCTAGTATAGTATCACATGACAGATAGCAGGCCCTGAAGGAAACTGACTTACTTTTATTTTACGCCAAAATATGTTTATTTAACATATTTTGTAATGGCCCTGAAAAGCTATCGCTTGTGGGGAAAATCTACATTCTGTAAAGAATCCCCTTCCCTTTTCCCTGATGCAGGAGAGAGTTAACTAAACGACTCGCACATCATTAGGTCTGATAAGGGCTCTGAAGCCTACTACCTGGAGGCTTTATCTGCATAAGGAATCCCTTATCTTAACCCAGACACTCCCTTCTATTGATCCCTGGTCTTTAGATAACAACTTAAGTCTTTTAATCAATTGCCAATCAGAAAAGCTTTGAATTCATCTATTAAGTGGAAGCCCCTGCTTCAAGTTGTCTCACCTTTCAGGACTGAACCAAAGTACACCTCTTACATGTATTGATTGATGTCTGCTTGTAACTTTTGTCCACTTAGAATGTATAAAGTCAAACTGTAAACCAACCACCTTGGGTACATGTTCTCAGGACCTCCTGAGGCCGTGTCATGGGCCATGGTCCTTACATTTGGCTCAGAATAAATGTCTTCAATTATTTTACAGAATTTGACTCTTTTTATCAATTCTTACTACACATTTCATTTAGCTGAATATTAGTCACCTCAGATTTGACATGTTGACTACAGGGCATTTTATGCATCCCATTTAATATCCCAAACCTATAAGTATACACTTTTCTGGCTTCCTTGTATAGTAAATGGAACTAACTGAAAGATGTGGTAAAACATCGGAGAGCGGTCTTTAATTAATCTCTTCTTCCTTTCCTAAATCTAACTAATCTATAAATACTATTGACTTGATTTCCAAAATATATCTTAAATATATATGTTTCTCTTCATCTCTCTACTGTCAATCGCCTGTTTCGTCTCATTGTGAAATGCTGAAGTTCCCGCTTTATACTTATGCATCTCCATACTCGACACCTACCATCTATTCTTCAAAGAATGAACAGAATAGTCTCAAAAAGTAAGTTGAATCAAATCACTCCCTTGCTTAAAAACTTCCTCAAATTTAGAATCAAATCCAGACTCCCTTGGCTCACAAAATCCTATATACTTTGTTTGGATATCAATTTAATATTATCTTCCAAATCTCTCCCCATTCTCTTCATCTTCCAGTCACACTGGCTTTCTTCCTGTTCCTTAAATGTGCTAAGAAGGTTTCTGTCTCAGTGTCCTTGCACTCATTGTTCCTTCAACCTGGAATTCTTTTATTCAGACTCTCCATGTTCAATTTTCAGTCCTAATTTCACCTCCCCAGAGAGTCTCTCTCTGCCTTACCTACCTATGTTAGCCAGACCCTCACAATATACCTGCCATGAAAGAAGGAGCCCTGCCTGCGTAGACTGTTGCTTAGGATTGTGTTGGGCATCTAACTTTTACTTAATAAACAGTGGTTGATTCAATAAAGATGTTAAATGAAAGCTTTCAGAAAGTATTCAGAATGTATTCACACTGATTTAAGAAACATTTTAAATTTGTTATTAAATTTTTAACATTAAGAAATAGAAATTATTTTAAAAAATTTGCTACTAAGAATTTGAAGTGCCCTTCATCAGATGGTGGCAGGATTTGAGAGGTATGCCGTAAGACATACTGGGTCCTTAAATAATATTCATAAGTAATTCCTTCTAAGGTTCGTGACAAAAATATCCAAGGAAATTGCACTTGCATTTTCAATCATTTTCATTTTCCAATTTGCTTCCATTTTTAATGGTATTTTATTTGTTCATAAGTGATTCACATTTAATTTATCAAATTGGGATAAAAAAATGACACCAAAGGAAACAGCCTATAATATTAAAACAAAAATGAATTTAGAAGTATTTGTATCTCCATGCTTTTAAACATATTTTAAATACATTCTATCAAGTATGGGAGTTACAGTTAATCTGAATTATAGAGTTATAATTCCACTGATGAATTCTTGAGGTACAAAACCATGGGTCATATCGTATAGATTTTAATATGAAACTCTTTTCACAGTTAGAGGAGTTCCACTTGAAAATTGTGAAGACAGGTTGTGAATTAATAGTCATAAAATGCATTGTTCTATGAACCCCATATTGAATTAATAAAAGAAATATGAGTCAGGCTAGTGAGAGAGGAAGGTATATTTTCTGGTTTAATGAAAGAATATATTAGCACCATATTTTAGAATTAGAAATGAATGCTATAATTTTCTTTAAGCTATAATAGTCATATTTAAAGAAAATATTTTTACTCAAATAAGTAGGAGCTGAGGCAGATAAAATATTTTGGTGTTACAAATTCTAGGAAGTGAGCAGCTACCAGAGACAGATGGACAGTCTATTTTAGTTTTACTCATCGTACCAATGTCACATACAAGTAATTTTAAACTAAACTTTTGGTATTCTCTCGGTAGAATCTTCAAAGAGACATGAATTGAAGGATTATTTGATTCAGTCTCTCAATTTTTTTATGTGAGGATATTTAGTCTGAAATAAGTCAAATGACAAATAGCATTGGATTGGTGAATAGGCTACTTAAGACTGAATGTGACCTTTTGCAAATTGCTTAACCTCCTTCCTTAAACTTGGTTCCTCATCTGTAAAGGGGGAACATTTTGTTGCAGATCATTTTGTAAGTAAATAAGGTTTTATATATATATGTATATACATATATATATATAACTAGATATATATAACTAGTTTTTCTATATAATTAATATATATTCATTCTACATTATAGCAATACCTTTCTGTCCATTTAGTTTTTAAATCTTCATTTTTTATTTTGTTGGCAGGCTTATTTTCTATTTTCTTTTAGTTATCTACCTTTAGAAAAGACAAACTAAGTCTTATCTAGAAAAAGTGGACATCAAATTATTAAACAGCATCAAAACAAAAGCCACAATACTATAAAAAGAATTGGGCTAAATACATATATTTTTAATTTTCTTTTACTTGTATTTAATTCTTATTTTTATATTTTTATAATTACATAATTTCACAGAGAAAAATATTTTAATATTGTTTCAAGGCAATAAAGAGTTTCTGTATACTGAGTAGAGATGAGAGGTGTTATGCATGAAAGTCATGATTTTTTCATGGGTTACTGTCTTGAAAAATGTTTCCCACGGAAAAATGTTTACCAACATTAACAATTGGGGGAATGTAAATTAAAACCACAATGTGATACCATTACATTTCCATTAGAATGTCTTAAGATTGAATAGACTGATCAGAATGTGAAGATATTAGAGCACTTACACACTTCTGGTGGAAATGTAAAATGGTACGACCCATTGGAGAAAATGTTGGCAATTTCTCAAAGTGTTAAACATTCATCTATCATATAGTTCAGCCAATATTCTCTTAGATATTTACACGGAAAACATGAAAGCACATGTCTATACCAAAACTTGTAACAGCCTCTAACTGAAAATAACCCAAATGTTCATCAGTAGGTGAACGGATGAACAAATTATGAGATATCTACACAGTACTCAGATAGAAAATGATTCAACTATTGATACACATATCAACATGGAGAAACTACCATGTAATTATGCTGGATAAAAGGAGCCAGATAAAAGAAAACATGCTGTAATATTACATTCATATAAAATTCTAAAACATGCAAATAAATCAATGTTAGTAGAAAACAGGTCAGCATTTGCCTAGGTATGCAGATAGTGGAAATAGGGAAAGTTTTGGAAAGGAGGAAATCCAGAAAAGCATACGAAAACTTTTAGGGGTTATTGATATATTCACTTTATTGATTGTGATGGTGGTTTCACAGATATATATGTCAAAACATCAATTATACACTTTATGTGTGGTTTATCATATGTCAATTACACCTCAATAAACTTGTTAAAAATCAAATTGAAAAAGTAGATATAAAGGCAGCACGCAGTAAAATTGCAGAAGGAAAATAAAATTTAGAATATATTTGAAAAATTTATTTTAAATATCTTAACTATTTTAAACAGGGTTTCAATAGGGACCATTGTTTAGTACTTTATACTCATTCATACCTTTATTAATATTTTTCCTCTCTCACCCAACCATACTAATTTATTATTTAAATTAACATCTTTAATAAAACACACAATTTTGAAATGCAGTAATTTCACAGTTAAAGATGTCATCCTCCTCATGGATGGAGATGGAAGCCATTATCCTCAGCAAACTAACGCAGGAACAGAAAACCAAACATTATATGTTCTCACTTAAAAGTGAGGAGCTGAACAATGTGAACACATAGACACAGGTAGGGGAACAACACATTGTGGTGGGGTGAAGGAGAACATCAGGATTAATAGCTAATGCATGTTGGGCTTAAAACCAAGGTGATGCATTGACAGGTGCAGCAAACCATCATGGCACACGTTTACCTATGTAACAAACCTGCACATCCTGCACATGTGCTCTGGAAGTTAACATTTAGAACAAAATTAAAAATAAAAATAATTTTAAAAGAGTGAGTTGTGAATACAGAGTAACCACAAAGTCCCTATGTTTGAGATTGTCTCCTCTGCTAATAATTAGCAATGAAATCTATCAGAGACTGATTTAATGTCAGTCTCTGATAGACGTACATTAAAAAGAAAGTCATCCTCCTAATAAGCCAGATTCCTTTTATTTTGACTTGTATCAATTAACATATTCATGTTCTTCTGGACACCAGAATTAATGTCCTTCCTTTTCTATAGATACATCTGAAAACAGTTGAAGGAGGCTATTAAATATTCCTGATAACATCCCTTTTATGATAAAAATTATACCCAGTTTATTCTGTCATTTTTGAGACATATTATTCTACCCTCTTCATCTGATTCAGGATTCCCTTGAGTTTATTAGTGTCACTCTTAAAATATGGAACCCCAAACTGGAAGCAATGATCTGGATTTAATATGATCAACAGAGAGCACACAGAGACTATAATCTCCTTTGTTCTGAACCCTACAACAGCCAAAGATTGGATTACCGTTTTTAGCAACAGAGTCATGCTGTCAGCAACTATTGAACTTGAAGTTAAGTAAAAGTTCAAGTTTTTCTTATTTCAGTAGCACAGCTGTAAATTCTATTTTCTACTTTTTTATTTATATAAAGCCAAGTGTTCGAACCAAAGTGTAAGAATTTGTATTTGCTCCTGTGAAATCACATCTTGTTTTATTCTTCTTGTTTCTGCCTATTGAGATCATTTTGAATCCAATCTTTTCATCAACTATATTTATAGTTCATCTTAGCTTTGGGTAATTCACAAATCTCATACACAACATTTTATTTTATGTGCTTTCCTTCAGCCTTATATTCCCCTCTAGCTACCAATTCACCTTTCACCTTCACTTCACAATTACAGTAGACCTATGTTATTTACCGCCCAAGGTACATTTCCTTAAGAAATCATTTATTCTCTTTTGTGGAACTGGCAATTTCAGCACACCACTCTTCCTTCACTAAAGAAAACGTGATCTGTACTGGTCAGTTTGAATCTTCTATTTCCAAGGCTGCTGTGATTTGTTCATGAATTGGAATATTACCTGCACTGGGTCAATCAGTATCCTCTGCAAGACTTATACACTAAATTAAACATAAAAGACACATTTAAGTCACAATACTGGGAGAATGTGATTATCCTATTAAGAAAAAATGATGGAAAACTGTTGAGATTAGGATAGCAAAAAACCAACTCACAGTCATAGGCAGTTGAAGGGAAGACGAGAATTGTAACAAATTGTATTAACCTCTGAATCCAACCATAACTAAAGCCACTATCATGCCTCAACCTCCTGAAAATATTAGCTAATTAATTATGTTTTTGTATAAACTACTTTGGGTTGAATGTTATATAACCTCACTTTTCACTCTTGTTAATTCTTAATAATAACAGTGCTATATTTTTATTGTAGGAAAATTACAAAGTATAGCAAAGCAAAATTTACCTATATGAAGATATCTAACACTATATTGTAGATAAAGCCTGTATATGAACAATTACTTTTTATTCATTAACTCCACTCTATGGAGAGTCAAATGTATGTTGGACGTAGCATATAATGTCAGTAGTATAGTTCTGCTCTTCTGAAATCTAAGATTCCAGGCACGCTTTGCACAGATTGAATTCATATTTTTGTAATTCATTACACAAGTAATCTCTTCATTCCTTTCTTTCCATCTAAAAACTAAGTAACAAATACTTGAAATCCATCACATCCTAATTATTATACCATCGTCTATGCTCTTGAGATTATTGGTGTTTGTATTATATGATGGAAATATTATATGGTTGCATGCTTTTGTGCATGTCCTCTGAACTCTCATTCAGTTACTTCATGATAAATGACATCAACCACGTTGGGAATATTTACACCACAGACACTGGAAACCACTACAATTCAAGCCTTTCTCCACACACCTGGTTATCAATAATTTATCAGCACACCAAGCAGTAGAGCAATAGAAATAGAAAGCAAAGCATGCCACCATTTGGTCCTTATATGTTAAGTATATTAACTCATTTAAATCTCACAATGACACTATGAGCTAAGAACTATTTTTATCCTCATTTAACAGGTGAAAAAACTAAGCAAAAAGAGGCTAAATAACTCCTTTGATATCACACAAGTAGAAAGTTGCAAACATGTCACATAAAAAGTCTCATCTCTGTCATTCCTTAGCATATACAAGAACATTTATGACCCATACTAAGGGTGAGTCACAAGAATGATATTTTATGTTTGTAAAGGGCTGGGCAATGATTTCTCCAGTTTAAATATTTGAAAGGACTTGCCAGACTCCATAGAGCATACTCATGAAAGGCTTTCATTTTCTTCCTTTTCTAGCTTGAACATTCTTAAAGTGAGAAACAACAAGCAAAAAATCCTTTAGAAATTATCTCTGGCTTCTAAAATCACAATCCTATAACAATTTAAGGTTTCCATGTCACTGAAATTTTCTATTTTTTTTTTTTTGTTTGACAGGTGTCACACTGTCACCCAAGCTGGAGTGCAGTGGCCTGATCCTCCCACCTTATCCTTCTGAGTAGCTGGGACTACAGGCATGCACCACTATACTGAGCTAGTTTTTATTATTATTACTGTTATTTTTGGTAGAGACAGGGTCTTGCCATGTTGTCCAGCTGGTCTTGAACTCCTGGGTTCAAGAAATCTGCCCATCTAGTCCTCCTAAAATGCTGGGATTACAGGTGTGAGCCACTGCGTGCCTGAAATTTTCAGTATATTTTCATGCCACTTCTTGGTAAGCATTGTCTTTGTTATTCAATACCCACTTCACTTTAAATTTAAATTTTATTCCTTTTTTTTTTTTTACAATATAATTACTTCATGGAGCTAATTGTTCATTATTACTTTGGGTATATTCCATTTCCTATTTTTCTTCTTCATTGAAATTATCCAGAATTAAACAGTCAGAGGTGGGCGCAGTGGCTCATGCCTATGATCCCAGCACTTTGGGAGATCAAAGCAGGCAGATCACCTGAGGTCAGGATTTCAAGACCAGCCTGGCCAACATGGAGAAACCCCATCTCTATTAAAAATACAAAATTAGCCAGGCATGGTGACACACGTACATAATCCCAGCTATTCAGGAGGCTGAATCAGGAGAATCGCTTGAACCTGGGAGGTGGGGGTTGTAGTGAGCCAAGGTCATGCCACTGCACTCCAGCCTGGGTGACGGAGCAAGACTCCATCTCAAAAAGATAAATAAATAAAAATTAAAAAATAAAAATAAACAGTCAGATTTGGTTTTGTTTATGGTGGGTTTTTTGGTGGAATTAGCTTGATGCTTGCGTCATAGTCCTTCTTACCTCTGCCATAAGACCATGGTTTCCTTTTCTTGAAATATTTAAAAACCCTTTCCTAAAGTCTTTGGTTCTTATGGTACTGTAGCCCAATATTTTTTCTTTGATTTTGTAAATATTAAGATAGCATTATTCTTTCCTTCTGTGGGTAACTGTTGTTTCTATAAACAATTTTCTATTTGTATTTCTATAAGCCTATATTTTCTTTCTTAGTAAAACTAAACTTCAAAGTAATAATTTTAATTATTGCTTTTATATGCTTGAAAATTATCAAGTCAAATGATTAAATCCTTTATTACATATCTTACATTTTGCCTATGTTTTTACTTCATGTAGATACCACTTCATAGGTGCATAAATATAAAATATAGTCAGATAATGATGAAAGAGTCAATCAGTCATGAACTTGAGTACTGGATCTATCTTTTACTAGGTTTAAAAACTTCAGCTGAAGTTTTATTATGTAAAAAATTAATAAAGTTGCATTAGGGACTACATTACTTTGTAGCAACAGTACTCCTGAAAACATTGTAATAATGAAGCTCCTGACATGCCTGACACATATTAGGTACTCAAAAGTATTGGTTTATATACTTATAAAAATGTTTCTTAGCGTTAACTTGAAACATTTTTTGAACTCAAAAAGAAAGTAATTTAATTTAAATAAAAATTCAGTTTATTTTTTTCATGGCAATAACTGGGAGAGATCTAGCCTTTAAAGATAACCAATAACCATGATTGTAATGTTGATCATGATAGTAACATGCATACTCCCTAAATTATATAGCAAATTCTACTCATATCACGTAAACATGCTACTCATATCTGCAAATTTGGAGTGTGTAAACTAGTCTCCTCATTTTACAAATGCAAAATGAGGCTCAGACTTTACATGTACGAATTGAATATTTCACATGTATTAATTCAGTTAATTCTCACCACAACAATGTGAGGTAGGTACTATTAGTACTTCCATTTTACAAATATGGCCCAGAAAATTATAACTTCCTTGAAACAGCATACCTGCTAAGTGACAGAACAACTGGCCCTGGAGGCTTCACTCTTAAGCACTACAACAAGCAGTTCCTCATCTGTGCCTTATTGCTAGAAAACGATAATGTCAGAATAAAAAATGGGCAGGCTACTCTGTCTGATGTTCTTAACCACGACACCACCTTTATCTATGAATGCCCCAAAATTACCAGGCTTTCAGCAGAGATGCGTACTTTCTCTCTGGGAAATCACAGAAAATCACTGATCTGCTGCACACATTTTATTTAGCCTCAAAGTTTTAAGACTTTTGCATCATATGTCTCATTTAAGTCATTTGGTCCTTTGCTATCTGAGATTTTACTTAAGTGATTCCCAAATTCCTACAAGTATCTATCTTCACTGTCTTCTTTATCATCGTGATCGTAACAAGTATTTATTTAATTATCCTATATGGGACGTGCCATATGTGCACG
Source organism: Homo sapiens (assembly GCF_000001405.40). Classification (NCBI taxonomy): domain Eukaryota; kingdom Metazoa; phylum Chordata; class Mammalia; order Primates; family Hominidae; genus Homo; species Homo sapiens. Next base: position 62,626,597 of record NC_000006.12, read on the forward strand.
GTGGACAGGCGTTTTATTCAGTTCTCTACACAAAACAATAAAGTACAGGTGTGTAGAAAGAGAAATAGAGAGGACCTAGGCCCTCAGTGACCCTGTATGGGACATGAAAAATACACAGTTTTTGTGGGTTCTAATCCAGTGGGAATAGACTGCAGGCAGAGAGGTTACAAGCACTGTATAGTGCCCTGGTGCTAGGGGTTATTTACCTACCTGGGCCACTGGTGAAGCAGATCATATTTTCTCTGTCATTTTATAGATAAGCTTCATAGGGCTCAGTGAGGTTAAGCAACTTGGCCGAGTTAAGCTAAGACATAATAAACCCAGGAATAAACCTGTTGTACTCCCTGCAATCTACCAGGATCCATTCTCGCTCACTTACAGTAGACCAATTTAGGCTTAGCAGTTTGCTAAAGACTATGTCTGTATCTTCCATGTCAAAGCAAATGCAGAAAGGTATTTTGTAGCATATTTGATTGCATAGAACTTTTGTGAATTTCGTTTCGCTTGGGAAAGTTATGGTAGCTTTTAAAATTTTTTAAATGCTGTCTTTATCAGTACTTGTTGGCATGCAATGCTGGTCACTATTAAGGATCTCAGTAAATTTGCACAGGAAGAAAAGAACCTGTTGGAAGCAATAAGTTCTAGACTTTAATTCTTCATTTTTTTAGTTCAATATTAATAGAAATTATTTGATAAATTACTATCCATTGACAGGAAAGGGAACCAAGGGCAGCTAAAGAAAACTCACCAGGAAGAAAGGCAGTTTTAGTCTAGACTGGTTTCCTGTACTCCATAGAAGTCTTCTAAAGGTTTGTGGGGTTTGGGAGTTGATTGACTTTCTGAATAACGACTCATCCAAAAACTTAATGGCTTAAAGTAACAATCATTTGTTACTGCTCATAAATCTATGGTTTAGCTGGGTGGTTCTGCTGATCTGGGCCAGGCTTGACCGATCATGCTTGGGCCTGCTCACGTTTCTCTGATGGGTTGGCTGGAAACTGGCTCATCTTAAAGTCCTCACTTACTGTGAGGTATAGTGATGAGGGTGACATGTCTCTTTTCATTCTGGTGGCTAGCAGGGTGTGTTTAAATGGCAATCTCAGGGTTCTAAGAAACTGAAAAGAAGAATGAAAGGCTTTCTGAGGCCAAAGTTTGAAACTGGTACCAGCATTACATGTACCATATTCTATTAATCAAGCAAGAGACAAGACCAAGGAAGATTCAAGGGGTAGAAAAATAAACTCGTTTCTTGACGGAATAAGCTGTAAAGTCATACAGCAAAGGGGAGTAGATGATAGAAAGAAAGATGAAAATCTGTGCCTTTTATGGATCTATCTTGTCCTAGTGTGTGGGCATTGGAAACAACAGCTGAGCAGGTCAGTCTCGTTTAAAAAGCTGTAACTTTAGGAGCTGAAATGTGTGAAATACACTAAAATCTGTGAAAACTGACCTTACAGGGAGAGTTTTCATCAGTGCCCCAACGAAGCTTTGACAGAAGCAATGACAGTGAAACTGACCCTCCAGTTACCTCTTCACCTGATATTTGGCAGTGGAACTGACCTTTATTGACTGAAGAGTTCTCTGAGTTTGTAACTCAAGCCCCAGGCAGACTTCTTGAGAGAGATCTAAATAGATTGATATAATTTGATACATGGATGCTACATCAATTTATTTGAAAACTAAAATGGATTAGCAATATTCATATCTCATGGTTGTTAACAGCTGCTTATATCAGAGATACATGTTTTGACATTTTGTGTCAGTGATTTCCCCTTAAAATTATATCTGAGTCTCATCCTCTCATTTTGTCTCGTTATATCCCCTGCCTTACTACATAGTTTATTATCTTTTGATTCCTGCTTTAATGGTTTGTTTTTACGATTTTAACATAAACTTAAAAATATTATACTACAAATTTGACAAAATGCATTTAACTGTATGTAAGCTGATCAAACTTAAAATATAATTATCTACAGTCTTTTACCCAATCACAAAATGTGTGCTAAAAGAATACAATTGTTTTTAACTGAGGCCCAAAAGGATTTTAAAAAATAAGTGAATTAACAGTTTCTAACACAGATAAAAAGCTAAAGTAATTTGCATGACTTCAGTACTTTATAGTTTGAATACTTTATAAATTATTTTATGAAAGTAGTACATATTATGGAATATTTGGGAAAGGACAGAAAAATACAAAGAAGAAAATTAAAATTAACCAAACAAACAGAAAGCTGATGTTAATATTTTGATGTGTTTCCTTAATATATTAGATAAAAAATATTTTATGATTTTTAAAAGAATTTGTATATGACAGAGAGAGTTAATGCTTACCCAGTGCTCCATGTACCCCCTCTTGCATGCTCCTAGGACCACTTGCATGAGTGTGTGGAACATGCATCTGTTTCTGGATGAAAGACTGCATCACAAAGAACACGTAGCACATTTTGGTGCAGGTTTTTTGCTTCTCCTTTCTCAACCACTATGACCTTGGACACTATGGGCACCAGTGAGGGTAGCTCTAAGATGAAGGACTCTGACCTATATCAAACTTTATGTGCATGAGTACTCAAAGATTTCAGCTCTGTGACTGAAATATAGCCAGTCCAACCATAACAAAGATCATTTAATGAAAATGTGATCATTCTACATATTAATCTTGCATTCTTGCTTTTCTCACTGAACATTACATATGTGTGACATATATAATATAACTCACGTTAGTAAACATATTTAAAGTAATAAATAGCCATAAATAGTAAGTCATTCCAATCTACTATTTTTTCAAACACATTCATGTAATTCTATTATTGATCATATAAATGGATGCATTTCAAGTGCCACACAGCTTATATATTGATAGACTATGCAGTCACACTCTCTGAACATGGAAATTCATGCTTATTTTCTCCATTTTGCAGAATGACTATATTTTTAAATGCCACCCAAGGATGGTCAAAGTGAGTTTCACGTGTACCACATAGACTTTTTTTATTAAGACAAACTATCCCAAGCATGATCTTCAGAATTTAGTTGAAAGATTTTTATCATTTTTGAGTAATGCTATAACAGATGGACAAAAATATCTCTTTGTCTGGATTATTAGGTTAAGTTACAATCTTTTATATTCAGAGTGTAAAACATTACATTTTAATTTACACACTAATGACAAATATTTCAATATCTTTTAAATTAAGATTTAAAATATAACATTCTTTCATCAAAAAGGAACTATGAAGCAAAGAAGAGTGAGTAGTTAATATTTAAGATGGATAATAAAAACAAATGCTTTTTCTTACTTTAAAGACTATGTTTTCAGTTATATATGGCAGTATCTATATTTTACATAGTGTTTGTATATATTGGCATTTTAGCCAGTATTCAAGAAAATACGGTAATTTTAAATGTTCTTCTTTTTTTCCTTTGTAGCAGTGATCCATGAGTCTCCTAGCTATATACATATATATATAGCTATATATAATATATTATATAATATACATAATATATATAATATATAACTATTATGAAATCTATAAAAGACTCACTTTAGATATTAGGACATTTATTTGCTGAAAGTAAAAAGAGAAGAAAGATATGCCATGCAAATGATAACCAAAAGAGAGGGATAGCCATAAGTATAACAGAAAAAAATTATATATTATTATATATATAATGATATATTATTATATAATATACATATTATATAATGTATATTATATATATATCTTTGTAAACTAAGGAGTGCAAATAACTACATTTTATAGCCCAAAAGGACACAGAGGTAGGTTATGTACTCTTTCAGATAGAATAACTTCTTGCAAGTAACCTCCTCACAGTATCTGTCTCAGTATTTATGACTCAGATAGTTTATGAAAAGGCTTAATCTTTTCTCAGAAGGAGATCACCAAAAGGGTAAAGATTACCTGAACAGATTATGCAGATTATTTCATCATTAAAGCAAACATACATACATTTGGTGGAGTCATATTTTTCAAAAGACAGGTTTATTTTGTTTTATTTTATCATGAGGCAGTTCAGAGATTTACTAATTACCGCAGCATGTATCCAGCTATGTATTACAATCAATAAGCATGAAGTCAAAATTGCCATAGAAATTACTCTTTTGTCTTTTAAAAGTGAAGAATTTCCAAAAACAAGCACACCCATTAGCAGTGCATAGATATGCAATAGTCCATGATTCATTATGCTGCCTGACAAAATTACAGAGACATAAAGAGTTAGGTGATATTTAACAATAAGTTAGAAGAGTTTGAGCTTTCAAGATATTCACCAGAATGCTGGACATTTTAGTTAAACAAAGTTCTCATTGATTTGATATCATTTCAATCACTGAAAGATGTCTTGTGCTATCATTTTGCAATGTAGCTATTATGGCATTTGATACTGATGGTGGTCCTGTGATATTTCACATAGATGAATGAGAAGCAATAAGATTAAAAGGATTGGTGGAGATTAATAATGTAGTGTATGGGCAGGAAAGGGAAAAATCAAACAACAAAAGCCAACCCAACAATTTTAGGAAGATGGTTATCAGGCTGACTGTGCAGATATTACACAGAGTAGGTGAAAACATGAATATTTGGTGAACTTAATTGGGGATAGTTGAAGAATGGGAGATTTATTTGTGTCTTAAATTTGTCCTACCACTTTTGTCAAGGGTTAAAGCAGAATGACAAGTAATTTTAACTCTTCTTTTAAATGTTTTAATAATTAATATTATTAATATACCTTAGCTGAGTCAGCCCAATAATTATGATATATGCAAATTTATATTAGTCCACCAGCCAGGTGGAAAGGCAGGATGAAGAAATGGGTCATTTTGAAGGCTTTTTTGAATTTTTTGCTTTATTATAAAATTTTCACCCTTGATTAATTCACATAATCTTAGATATAAAATATTAATTATTAAAAGATTAAAATGACAGTAGTAATTCTTGTCCATCAGTTGTTACTTTCAATGTGAATAAATTAAATTATCCAGTTGAAAGACATAGATTGGCTGAATAGCTAGAAAATCCAAAACAAACAAGAAACAAGATTCAACTATTATGAACTATTATGAAGTCTATAAAAGACTCACTTTAGATACTAGGACATTTATTTGCCAAAAGTAAAAAGATGAAGAAAGATATGCCATGCAAATGATAACCAAAAGAGAGGAGGGGTAGCCATAATTATAACAGAAAAAATATCATCAAATCAAAAACTGTAATAAGAGACAAAGGGCATTTAAAAATTACAAAAGGGTAAACAAACCAGAAAATACAACAATTATAAATATATATACACCTAACACCATAGGTGTATTGGTATATATGCAGCTACCAAATATGCAAAGCAAACCTTGACAAAATGGAAGGAAGAAATAAACCGCAACACAACAACAGTAAGAGACTTCAAAACCTCACTTTCCTTAAGGAATAGAACAACCAGACAAAAAATCAATAAGGAAACAGAGGACTTGAACAGTATATACTAACTGAACTTAAAAGAAATATACACAACACTCCATACATCAAAAGCAGAGTACGCATTCTTCTGAAGTGCACATGAAACAGCCTCCAGGATAAACCACATGTTAGACCACAAAATAAGTCTTAACAAATTAAAGAAAATTGAAATCACACAAAATATGTTCTGACCACAATGGAGTAAAACTAGAAATCAGTAACAGAGAAAAACTGAAAAATACACAAACATATAGAAATTAAACAACATACTTTTAAATGATAAATGGCACAAAGAAGAATGAAAAATAAAAACTTAAAAATATCTTGAGAAAAATGAAAATGAAAACACAACATACCAAAACTTACAGGATGCAGAGAAAGCAGGACTAAGAGAGAAGCTTATAGTGGTAAGCATTTACATTAAAAAAGAAAAAGGATCTCAGATAAACAACCTAACATTACACCTCAAGGAACAGAAAGAAAGAAGGAGCTAAACTTAAAGTTAGCAGAAGGAAGGATATAATATAGATAATAGTGGAAATAAATGAAATAATAATAGAAAAATAACGGAAATGCTAAACAAAACTGAGAGTTGTTTTTTGGAAAATATTTTAAAATTGACAAACCCTTAGCTAGATCAACTAAGAAAATAAGAGAGAAGACAAATAAATTATGAATGAAAGGTATTATAACGAATGCTACAGAAATCAAAAGGTACATGAGATTATTGTGAACATTTATGTGCAAACTGGAACACCTAAAAATAGATACATTTTTAAATATTCAACTTATTAACTGAATTATGAAGAAATAAAAAAAATTAACAGACCTATAACTAATAAACAGATTGAATCAATAATGAAAAACATCCCAACAAAGAAAATCCCAGGACCAGATGGCTTCAGTGGAAAAATCTACCTAACATTTAAAAAAGTATTAACATTAATCTTCTTCAGTCTCTTCCAAACAATTGAAAAAATTGAAACATTTCCAAATATGTTTGTGAGGCAATCATTACATTGATATCAAAGCCTAAAAAAGACACCATCAGAAAATTGCAAATCAATATCCCTGATAAATGTTTATGCAAAATTCCTCAACTAGTTTTTACAGTACATTAAAAGGATGTTCTACCTTGACAAAGTGGTATTCACTCCTGGAATGAAAGAATAGTTGAAAGTACAAAAATCTATCAATGTAATACACTGTATCAATAGCATGACATACAAAATTTGCATGTTTATCTCAATTGATGAAAAAGCATTTGACAAAATTCATCACCTATTCTTAATGAAGACACTCAATAAACTAGGTATAAAAAGAATGTACCTCAACATAATAAAAACTATCTATGAAAAAATCACAGACAACAACATATCCAATAATAAAAAATTGAAAACTTTTCCTCTGAGATCAAAATTTAGGAGCGTATACCCACTCTCACAACTTCTGTTCAACATAGTACTGGAAGTCCTAGGCAATGAAATTAGGTAAGAAAAAGCAAAGACATCCAAATTGGAAAAGAAAAAGTAAGGTTATCTTCATTTACAAATGACATGATTTTATATGTAGAAAACCCCAAGGATTACACACACACACACACACACACATACATACACACACACACACACACAACTGTTATGAGTAAAAAAAAAATCAGCTAAATTGCAGGATATAAAATCAGCATACAAAAGTAATTTATGTATCTCTACACTAACAATGAACAACATGAAAAGGAAATTAAGAAAATAATTTATTTACAGTAGCATCAAAAAGAATAAAATACTTAGGAATAAACTTGACCAAGGAGGCAAAAGACTCGTACACTTTAAACTATAAATATCGCTTAAACAAAATAAAGATGACAGAAATATATTGAAAGCGATCCAGTGTTCACTGGAAGATATCAGTAATACTCAAAGTGATCTACAGACTCAACACAATCCCTATAAAAATCTCAATAGCATTTTTGGAGAAATAGAAATAAATTATTTTAATTCACATGGGATCTTAAGGGACCCTGAAAAGCCAAAACAATTCTTGAAAATAAAAAAGTTGGAGGTGGTGTCACACTCCTTGATTTTAAAACATGTTACAAAGGTAAAGTAATCAAAACAATGTGGTACTGGCCTAAAGACAGACAGGTATAATACAAACAGGAGGACGGAAAATACCTGGTAGAAGGGGGGGGGTCCCTGGTGAGGGTTCCACCCTCAAGCCTGGACCTGTTGCCCTAAATGAGAATATGCATTCCTGTTTTCCCACTTGAATGTGGCCTTTTCCGAAACCACCCTGACCCACCACATAATATATCTGACCAGATGTGATGGCTCCGGCCTGTAACCCCAGCATTTTGGGAGGCCAAGGTGGGCAGATCACTTGAGGTCAGGCATTCGTGACCAGTTTGACCAACATGACGAAACCCCGTCTCTACTAAAAATACAAAAGTTAGCTGGGTGTGGTGACGGGTGCCTGTAAACCCAGCTACTCGGGGGGCTGAGGCAAGAGAATCGCTTGAACCAAGGAGGTGGAGGTTGCAGTGAGCCGAGATTGCATTACTGCACCCCAGTCTGAATGACAGAGTGAGACTCCATCTCAAAAAAAAAAAAAAAAAAAAAAAAAAAAACCATTGGGAAGATGTGGAGAAATCTGAACTCTTCCATATTCTAGGTGGGAATGTAAAGTAGTACAACTACTATAGAAAATAGTATAGAGTTTCCTCAAAAAATAAAAAATGGAATTACATATGATCCAGCAACCCCATTTCTGGGTATATATCCAAATAATTGAAAGCAGAATCATGAAGATATATTTGCCCTCCAATGTTCATTGCAGCATTATTCACAATAGTTAATAGGTAGAAGCAACCCAAATGTTCATTGAGGGATGAGTAGATAGGCAAAATGCATACATATACATTATGGAACAGTATTTAGCCTTAAAAAGAAAAAGAAATTCTGACACATGCAAAAGCATGGATGAACCTGGAGGACATTATGTTAAGTGAAATAAGCCAGTCACCAAAAGACAAATACTTTATGATTGCATTTATATGAGGTATCAAATGTGGTCAAACTCATGGGAAGTAGAATGGTGGTTGCCAGGAGTAAGAGAAGCGGAAACAGGAGTTGTTGTTCAATGGGGATAGAGTTTCAGTTTTGCAAGATAAAAAAGTTTGAAAGATTTGTCACAGAACATCTTAAATATAGTTAATACAATTAAACTCTACACTTAAAAATGGTTAAGATGGTAACATTTATGTTATATGCTTTTTATCAAAATTAAAAATGTTTTTAAAATATTTTAAAAGTAATTTTTTTTCTGATAACTCCAATATTTGGATTGTATCCTTGGCCACCATGAATTGAATGAATTGAAATGCTGTACCCAAGACCAGTGGTTCTTAATGTATTATCCAAGGACTCATGGTGGGGGGGGGGGTGTCCTGTGAAGTCAAAATTATTTTCAAGTACACTAAGATGTTATTTACCTCTTTATGTTCATACTTTTTTTAAGTGCATAGTGTAGGCTACATGACAAATCCACAATTATCTGCAAAGGCTACTACAATACTGTTCTTTCTGTCAACTATATATCTAAGTAAACCTGCAACTTATTTATATACTTCAATCAAAACAACCTATTTGTGCCATAACGAGTGCAGAACTAGATATGAGATTCCAATTGTCTTATATTAAGCCAGACATTAAAAAGGTGTACAAAATGTAAAACAATTCCACTTTTACCTTTACAGAATTTGAGGGGCAAGGGAATCTTTCTATTTTTATTTTTAAAATAAATAAATAAACATTTATTGGCATTAAAATATATCTTTTACCTTTACAGAATTTAAGGGGCAAGGGAATCTTTCTATTTTTATTGTTAAAATAAATAAATAAACATTTATTGGCATTAAAATATATCACCATGTATAGTGTTTATTATGGTTTATTCTAGTCATAATGTTATTAGTCATCATGTGTAGTATTTATTATTGTCATTTAAAAATGACATGCAATGTGGATATACTGAATTACACACCTAAAAAGGGTTAAGACATTAAATTTTATGTATATATGCCATATTTAGAAATACACATGAATTAGTAAATATTTTTAAAGTTCATCATTTTTCATTTCTAATATTATAAATATCAATAGATAAACATAAAGAAAATTTCCTTGAACTCTTTACTAATTCTTGAGTATGTGAAAGTATTCTGAGACCAAAAAGTTTGAAAAATGCTACTCCAGACATCCCTACCATTTTAGACTATTATTAAATTAGAATTAAAGCCTATTGAAAAAGTAGAAAGAAGCACAGTTCCTTCAGAATTCAAGAATAATTGTCTTGTAACAAATGAAAATTGACTTTTTATTTATCAATTCAGTTTTGTAAACAAAGACTGCAACAGCTGTGTCAGCAGCAACAAAAATAGCTGTCATGGGTAGTATTTGAAATTAGTTTCCATTGTTCTATTGCAGAATTCAAGGTTTTTTTCATGTGTTCATAAAGTGCATTGTCTGTTAAGTTTTCATGGATGAGATAGAAGCGATAAATCTATTCTTTAACAGAGAAAAAATGGAATGTTCCACTCAATAAATACAAAAAATTTCAGTCTTTAAATAAATAGTAGTATACATGGTGTGTAACAGATCTGAATTTCTCATTTATTTTACTTTTACATTGTGATCTCAGCAAGTAGCAATTTTCTTTCTTATAGCTTCAGAACAACACCATTGCTATTATAATAAAAGTACTTGAGAATGAGAAAATGACAAGAGCCTAATTCTCAATGCCTTGGTAAAGAAACGTAAATGTTAACAATTGTTCATAATATTTCATACTAGTTGTATTTGTGTTTGATGAATGAAAATAAATATCTCATCCTAAAGCAATCTAAGAGAATTACAATTATAGAACTTGGAAAATAAACTCTTATTTTATTAAAAATAAATATTTAAAAATTATTTTAAAAATATAAATGTATAATATAAATATAAATATATGAAATATAAATATATAAAATATAAATATATAAAATTATTTTAAAAATATAAATGTATAATATAAATATAAATATATAAAATATAAACATAAAAATATTTAAAAATTATTAAAAAAATAAATAAAAGATGGATGATGTGGTTATTCAAAGCTGTACATAGGTGGTAGTACTCAAAAAAAAAAAGCTGTTTCATAATCCCCATGAATTCTTTCTTCTTTTTTTTGAGACGGAGTCTCGCTCTGTCACCCAGGCTGGAGTGCAGTGGCGCGATCTCCGTTCACTGCAAGCTCCGCCTCCCGAGTTCACGACATTCTCCTGCCTCAGTCTCCATAGTAGCTGGGACTACAGGCGCCCGCCACTACGCCCGGCTAATTTTTTTGTATTTTTAGTAGAGACGGGGTTTCGCTGTGTTAGCCAGGATGGTCTCAATCTCCTGACCTCGCTATCAGCCCTCCTCGGCCTCCCAAAGTGCTGGGATTATAGGCGTGAGCCACCGCGCCTGGCCCCCATGAATTATTTTACTGGGTTATCTCTGCCACTCACTTCTTTTTCCCTAGTTTCCTTTGTCCTACATTAAGAGAATGTCTGTGTTACCTAATAGCAGTGTGGTTCTGGTAGACGGTGTTTCTCTTACAATAGGGATTTACAGATTTTTTTCTACAAAACACTGCGTAGTAAATATATGTAGCTTTGTAGGCCAGGCAATCTCTATAGCAACTATTCAACTTTGCTACTGTATGGTGAAAACACCCATAGGTAATGCATAAATGAGTGTGGCTGTGTTTCAGTACAACTTCAGTACAACAACAACAACAACGACAACAACAACGACAACAACAAAGGCTGAGGAGGAATGCAGGCAGATATGGCCCATGGGCAGTAGTTTGAGGACCCTAGTCTTACAACACTGCTTCCTGCTCCCTTCCCATTAGTAATTCTTGTGTGAGATAATTAAGCCACTGTATGTGTGTTTCCATGGCAGGGTTGTCTCATTTAAGACATCAACAGCCGGGCATGGTGGCTCACGCCTGTAATCCCAACACTTTGGGAGGCCGAGGCAGGCAGATCACGAGGTCAGGAGGTGGAGACCATCCTGGCTAACACGACGAAACCCCGTCTCTACTAAAAATACAAAATATTAGCCGGGTGTGGTGGCGGGCGCCTGTAGTCCCAGCTACTCGGGAGGCTGAGGCAGGAGAATGGTGTGAATCCAGGAGGCGGAGCTTGCAGTGAGCCGAGATCGAGCCACTGCACTAAGACATGAAAAACAACTAACCCCTGTTCACATGTATAAATCACTAAAACTCTGAGAAACATCGAAAATTGTGTGGCTCTTTTTTTTACAAAACTCTCTGCTACTCCCTTTTGATTTTTGGCCCAGAAACATGAATCGTTTCAGCTCATATATTTAAAGATCCCATAGAAAATGGAATTTCACAGATCCCAACACACCTTAAAGTATACCCTCTAGTAAGCAGTCCCCCACAGTCATAAACAGTGTTGCCATTTAGAAATTTACTGCATTTTGCAGTCCAATGGCTCAGTGAAAGCAATTTTTATTTTTACCTAATGTATCAACCTGTGTGAAAATCTTTCCATGTCAGAGAGGCAGTAGGAGGAAAACATTAAAGTCCTTTTTTATGTTACCATTGGAAAACCAGGCTTCAAAACACTGTCTGTCTCAAAATGTTGACAGCTGAAGAACCAGTTGGAGGTAACCTCAAGAACAGTTTACTACACAGCAATAAATGTGAACACATGAAACTTTCTTAATAACAAATTAATAACAATTATTAACAAAATTCTGGCTTGTCTTGCATACTCAGATATTTTTTATTTTTCTATTTCTACCTAATCTTTCTTAAACTTCTTCACTTCCTGTTCTTCTCTACCATCTCAAACTACATTTCCTACATTGTCATTATCAATTATTCTGTAAGTGTATGCGAAATTACCCCAGTTAATAAACTGTGGGAAAAAATTCAAAGTCCACTAAAGGCTAGGAATGGAGTTTGATTTTTGAAAATGTTATAGCAAATAATTTTTTTCTCTGTTTTCCTTCTATCTATAGTCTTTCTCTGGTCTTTCTTTAGTTTATTCAACTCTGATAGTCAAAAGCTTCCAAAATTCCCTATCTTTCTATTTTATCACATATAAGCTACTATTTATGCGTTTAATGGCTATGCAAAATTTACTTCCACCATAATTAGCCAATCCAAGAATATTTCTTCTATTCAAGGCACACAAGACACCGTATCCTCAAAGACTGGAAAGTACTTCCTACTGTGTCTTTGCTCTTATTGAGCTATTATTTATCAGTAATAAGGCATCATTTCAGTCTGTCCACCTGTCAAAACCCAGTGCAAATCTCAAATCCTGAATGTATCCTTTCTTTCCACCTACTTTGTGATTTCTGTCCTTTCTCATCTTAAATTCTCTCATGGTGAGTTATAGCCAAAGTTCTTACAATGAGCTGCAGATCCCTACACGGTCTGAGTCTCCATTATATTTCTGACTTCATTATCTACCATTCTCTCTTCATTGACTCTACTCCCACTATTGTGCCCCCTTCATCCTGGAACATTCTCCTGCCATGGGACCATTGTATTTTACTTTCCCCCTGCCTAGAATGTGTTCTCCCAGTTATCTGCATGACCAATTCAGCATTCTCACTTCCTTCAGATTTCTACTCAGTGAATCTTTCACTGGACACTCTATCAAGTTCCTTATTATCAATTATCAAATTATCAAATTCCTTGTGGGCATTTCGTATACTCTTTTCCTACTTATTGTTTCTATTTAGCATTTTTTTTTTGCTGTTTAATGTATTACTTATTTGTTTTGATCCTTATCTGCTCCACTATACTATAAGACATATGAGAGCAGGTATTTTCATCAGTTTTATGGTATTATATGCCCAGTGCCTAGCAAAGCATTTGAAACTTGAAGTGCTCCATAAATATTTGCTAAAAAATGGCTATCAGGATCATATCGCTCAGCACTTCATATTTCACCTCGTTTCACTGGCCCTTATTATTTACTGCATGATGCTAATCTGCCCCAATTAGATTGTAGGGACTTGAGGTCATGACTTAAGTTCCATTTTTGTCTATGTTTCCAAAACACCTTGAACAGTGCTGAGTATTTTGAAGGAAATATGTATATACATATATATCTTTTTCTCAATATCTTTATATATTAATCTGAAAAAGAATGTATGTTTACCACAAACAAGGTATGCTCACTGTTTAGCTTTGAGAGTTTCTGGTAAATATATTTTTGGTTACCAAGAAAAAATAACAAAGCAAGTTATACTTACTATAATATCTCCTCAGTAGTGCTCTATCCTTAATTAGACAATCTGGGAAGTTAAGGGTATCTTAAAATGCAAGAAAGACAAAAGTAAGCAGGCTGATAGAAAAATCGAAGGATGGCCAAGGGGAGCTTTCAACAGCCTTTAACACAAATGCATGTCAATATTTGATCCAGAATGAAACAATATTATGCAACATTAAACTTTTCTCTTACCAGTTTCAGAGCCTATAGGTATCACTCTTTTCTTGTACCCAAATATACATTTTATTTGTTGAAAACCCCTCAAATTGTACAGTGAAATCTAGCAGTTAGAAGAATCTATGGTTTAAAGCATGTACAATAGCTTATGCAATAACAAATCAATTCAAGTTAATGCAGTGGTGACTAGCAAACAGCCTTCAGAAGTTAGAAATCTGTAGGTCCACACTCACAAAGATCCTGCCAAGAATGTTGACTTGTCTACAATTTACCTGCTAAAATCATTTTGTCTTCATATACCTACATTGTGGATGAGATGCTACTCATTACTTGAGCTGAATCAGCTATTCAAAAAAACTTGGCTGTTTGCCAAGCAGGCCTTCCAAAATCAGTTCAGAGGTGGCGGCACTGATGCTGCAATATGATTGTCTTGTTTTTTGTTTTTTTAAAGAGGAAAGCTCTGAACTATAAATGACATTAAAGAATACAACATGAATTTTGACAACAATTAGAATTACGACATAAAAAAGTGAGATTCAGAACTGAAGAAAAGCAGCTCTGATAAGTGAAGCATGCACATGGGGGCGCACACACATGCACTTCACCTACCCTTTTTTTTTATGATTTTAAGTTGTTAAAAATCAGATGTCTCAATTTAATCTCATTATCGAACCACAACCTCCAGTCCTCTGACCTCTTAGACATCACTTCCTTTGTAATTTCTTTTCAATTTCATAACTCCAATTCTTCTATCCCTCCACTTTAACTCAATATGTTAAATGATTCTGATCTCACTTTTCTGGGCTTAGCCTACTCGTCTGAAATTGTACTCACAAACGCTTTCAACCATCTTGTACTCCTGTCATTTTGCTGAAATTGCCTAGCAAAATTGCAATTGTGACTCAAACCCACAGTCCTTTTCCTCATACAGATGCAGCTTCCTAAGTTCTTCTAAAACTATTTTTAAAATTAAAAAGTGCAACCATGTAGATTGATGACACCAAAAAATAATGATTTTCAGACAGAGATGGAGCCTCAAATCTATTAGTGATACATTCATTTGTCCTTAGATTCATCTTTCATTCCCTTCACTGACTATTCCACTTTTCAAATCTTATCCTGTCTCACAATATTCTAGTAACTCTATTTCAAGTAGAAAACTGGAGCAAGTAAAAATGAATATTCTCAATTTCTGTTCATTTTTACTTATCCGTACTACATAACCAAACATCCATACAAAACCTTACCCATATATTTTATTTTTCTTCCAGTCTTAGATGATAAAGAGTCCCTCCTTCTACTCAGGGCAAGTTACCTCATTTTCTCCGGGTCAGAGATTCAGTCTCATCCAAGGCAATGACTCATTTAGTATGTCTTCTCTTACAACTGTCTTTACTGGCTCTTTTTTCTCAGCCCTTTAAGTTTGCTCTTTGAGACTCTTTGCTACTCAACTAAGCATCTTCATCCCACAGCTCTTTATAAAGAAGTGTTACTCCACCCACCTCACATCTTCTGTCTTTTTTCTTCCATTCATTCTTTACTCCATTGACATTACTTTCTTCTTCCACCAGTTTCTACTTCTTGGAAACTGAACTGGGAATGAAACAATTATCTTTATGTGCCAGAGACAATGAATACTTTAAAGACCTGAATTCACTGGAGACTCTTTTTTCTCTGGCCTCCCATGGCTTCTAAGTTCCCACTGTGTCTTTAGATCTCTAGTTCTCAGTCTTCTTGACAAGATCCTTTTATGCTGGCCTCATCAAGCCATCCCCAAACTCAAACCTCTCTCAAAGCATGTTTTTCTTAGTTACCCCTTCCACCGTTTTGACTTATTGTCCGTTCCTTATAGTAATTCTATATGATGTCTATACTGTATCATCTTCCCAGTGAAGAATTTTCTTTTTTCTCCTTGTCTTTCACTTTATATTTTATATACTATTTATTGTAATATTTAAAAAATCTCTGTGTGTATCATCACTAAATAAATTATAAATGTTTTGATGGCAGATACCTGGTTGTGCTTATCTCTATGTATCCTTTAACATTTTGGATATAAACAGTCTTTAATAAATTAGATTAAATGGAAGTTTTATATACTCCTTGTGGTTTAGTTTACATTATTCAAAAGCCAGGCATCACCTAAAACTGCCAAGGAACAGTCATTAATTTACATGTATTTCTATTTTTGGTTAAGATACCAACAAAGAAACTCCCCTGGTGTTCCCAGGCAGTAAATTATCCTTCTCTCAGAAAGTTTTCTTTCTGCATACTCAAATTATCCAGCTATCTGTACTGAAAGAGTTTAACATCCATAAAATCACTTGCTTTAAAGATTTTGCTTTAGAACCTACTTGAATTTTACTTGCTTACGAAAAACTTTGGAAAAAGTTTTTCACCTTCTCTTCACATATCACAGAAGAGAAAAGGAATTTGTGATTGAATGTCAATAAGAGGCCACATTGTCTACCCTAGGATATGCACTGAAGGGATCAGAACACTTCACCACCACCACCACCACTAAGGAAAATTACCCAGGTGATCAGGATACATTTTCAATATGTCCACCCCCATAATTCAGTGATTCACCTCCATTCTGGCTACAGGAATTCCTTAAAAAATCTTCTCATGATATGAGGAATCCATAATTTGGAATCTGAATACTGCTGATCAAATTTCAATTACAGCTCTTTTTAGCCCTCTGTCTTCAAGTAAAATATCATGTGATTCATGATAAAAATAATTCCATTGGACAGAGTATTTTTAGGAGTAAACGAAGTATTCCTTAAAGTATTTTGAAAATGTAATGCATTATTCAACTATTGGTTATTATTTTAATTTTTAGATCTTCTTCTCCTTTGGATAACCTTCACATTTACCCCTCTAAGACATTCTGTTGGATACAATTAGCATTTTTCATCATTACACAGTGTTCAAGATGACTGTGTTAACATTGTATGTATCATAACATTTCTCCATAAAGACAGCTCCGTGGATATTAAGTTTTCACTATTTGAAATTTACCATGTGGTTCAAACTCTAACAGATTTATTTTTAGGATTGATTCTTTGTATCTTCTTTATGTTTTAGACCTCATCACTGAAAAATCACTTGGAGAACATTCTTATAAATTTACTAATGGCACCTCAGTGACTAAGGCTCAACGTAACTAATTGAGGAAAGTAAACATTCAGTGATGTAATGTAATTTGAAGCCTTTGCCTTATTGCAATGACTCCGGAGTGTAAAAGTATTACATGATCTAAGATTTGGACGAATAACGTTTCGTTCATTATAATTCGGGCTTTCAGGTGATTTATCTGGCTTTAATGCTCAATGTCCAGTAGTGTAAAATGGACTTCATTATTTCTATTGTTAATTACTTCTGCTACAGTCTTGTTGTGAGGTGTCACCTGGAGTTCTTTGTCTCAAGACCAAGTGAATTAAAGAGTGTGGACACAAAGGGTGAAGTTGGAGTGAAAGTTCAATAAGCAAAAGAAGAAAGCTCTCCACTGTGGAGAAGGGACCTGGTAGAGGGTTGCTGTTTTTACAGTTGAATGCAAAGGCTTTTATAACAGACTGATGAGGGCTGGACATCTCATTTGCATAAGGCACAAATTTCTGATAGCTCCACCCAGTCTTCCTAATCAGCATGTGGGCTTTTAGCTTGAGTTACTCCATATTGCTTTGTTTCCCTTACTGCACATATGTCAGGGGATGGAATTTTCCATTGAGGGGGCATATCTGGGCAAGTCACCTGTGCAGCCTTTCTTATATTGTTGGCTGTGGGCATGTCTTAGGCAAGCTCCCCTGTGCATGTTCCCTTATCTGTGCCTGCAGGCTGTTCTTCTGTTTGAGAGAATTCAACCTAGGACCCAGCCTAACTGCCTGCCTGATTGGTTTCTTCCTTTCTCCTCTCTCACTTATTTTCATACAACCAATAGTCAAGACAATCTATTATTTAAATTACCATTGTGTGCAAAGACAGTAAAAGTACCTCTGGAAATCTTCAAAAAGCATCTAGTGCAATTTGGACATGCTCTATGCATTTGAGTATTCAAATTCATTTTGGGTAACGTTTAAAGAACTTATTATTTATTCAACTAATGTCTAATAATTCACTTTTATATGCCGAGCACAAAATAGATTTTCTTTCACATATGCAAAAACATAATTGAGCAAGTATACCTGTGGATATAGATATCAGATCTCCTAATAATAAAATCAACATGGAAAATGTTGCCTTTCTTCCTAAAATGCCTTTGCAAAATTATGGCAGTAAGAGAAATCTGACATGGCTGACTCCATCCCCCTTCTAGCCTCAAGGCTGGCTGTTTTTGTTCATTCCTGAGCAGGAGCCAAGCTAACTTTGGGTGAAATTTAGTTTATGATTTAAATTATAATAGCACTTTCTCAAAACTAAACTTCCCTTATGCAAACTAATGAGAGGCCACCAAGTTAGAAGGATAAGAGGGGCCTGAATTCTAAATAATTACTAGCTATTATTCCTGAGATGACAAAATGATATGGTTTGGCTGTGTTCTCATTCAACTCTCATCTTGAATTCCCATGTGTTGAGGGAGGGGCCCAGTGGGAGATAATTAAATCATGGGGGCAAGTCTTTCCCATGCTGTTCTCATGACAGTGAATAAGTCTTGCAAGATCTGATGGTTTTAAAAAGATGAGTTCCCCTGCAAACTCTTTCTCCTTTTGCCTGTTGCCATCCATGTAAGATGAGACTTGCTCTTCCTTGCCTTCCACCATGATTGTGAGGCTTCCCCAGCCATGTGGAGCAGTAAGTCTAATAAACCTCTTTCTTTTTTAAATTGGCCAGTCTCGAGTATGTCTTTATCAACAGTGTGAAAATGAACTAATACAGTTAATTGGTACTAGGAGTGGGGTGTTGCTTAAAAGTTACTCGAAAATGTGGAAGCAACTTTGGACCTGGGTAACAGGCAGAAGTTGGAACAGTTTGGAGGGCTCAGAAGAACACAGGGAAGTGTGGGAAAGTTTGGAACTTCCTAGAGACTTGTTGAATGGTTTTGCCCAAAGTGCTAATAGTGGTATGGACAATAGACTCCAGACAGAGGTGGTCTCAGATGGAAATGTGAAACTTGTTGGGAACTGGAGCAAAGATGAATCTTGTTATGTTTTAGCAAAGAGACTAGTGGCATTTTGCCCCTGCCCTAGAGATTTGTGAAACTTTGAACTTGAGAGAGATGATTTAGGGTATCTGGCAAAGGAAATCCATCCAAGCAGCAAAGCATTCAAGATGTGACTTGGGTGCTGTTAAAGGCATTCAGTTTTATAAAGGAAGCAGATAATAAAAGTTGAAAAAATTGTACCCTGACAATGCAATAGAAAAGAAAATTCCATTTTTTTTAGGAGAGATTCAAGCCAGCTGTAGAAATAAGTAATGAGGAGTCTAATGTTAATTCCCAGGAAAATGGGAAACATGTCTCCAGGGCATGTCAGAGGTATTCATGGCAGTCCCTCCCATCACAGGCCCAAAGGTGTAGGAGGAAAAAAACTGTTTTGTGGGCCCAGCCCAGGGTCCTTGTGCTATGTGTAGTCTAGGGACTTCATGCCCTGTGTCCCAGTCACTCCAGCTATGACTAAAAGGGGCCAAGGTGCAGCTTGGGTTGTTGTTTCAGAGGGTGGAAGTCCCAAGCCTTGGCATCTTCCATGTAGTGTTGAGCCTGCAGATGCACAGAAGTAAAGAACTGCAGTTTGGGAATCTCTGCCTAGATTTCAGAGGATGTATGGAAATGCCTGGAAGCCCAGGCAAAAGTTTGCTTAAGGGGCAGGGCTCTCATGGAGAACCTCTGCTAGTGCAGAAGGGAAATGTGAGGTTGAAGCTCTCATGCAGAGTCCCTACTGGGGCATTGCCTAGTGGAGCTGTGAGAAGAGGGCCACAATCCTCCAGACCCCAGAATGGCAGATCCACCTATAGCTTGCACTGTGCACCTGGAAAAGCTGCAGAGACTCAATGCCAGCCCATGAAAGCAGCCAGGAGGGAGGCAGTACCCTGTAAAGCCAAAAGAGAAGAACTGCCCACGTCCATGGGAACCCACCTTTTGCATCAGCATGGCCAAGATGTGAGACATGAAGGCAATGGAGATCATTTCGAAGCTTTAAGATTTCACTGCCCCACTGAATTTTGTACTTGCATGGGGCCTCTATCCCCTTTGTTTTGGCCAATTTCTTCAATTTAGAATTGCTCTATTTTCTCAATGCCTGTACTCCCAAAAGTAATTAACCTGCTTTTGATTTTATAGGCTCATAGGCAGAAGAGACTTGCGTTGTCTCAGATAACACTTTGGACTGTGGACTTTGGAGTTAATGCTGAAATAAGCTAAGACATGGGGGGACTGTCAGAAAGGCATGATTGGTTTTGAAATCTGAGGACATGAGATTTGGGAGGGGCCAAGGGTGGAATAATATGGTTTGGCTCTGTCCCCACCCACATCTCAACTTGAATTCCCATGTGTTGTGGGAGGGAGCCAATGGGAGGTAATTGAATCATGGGGGCAAGTCTTTCCCATGCTGTTCTCATGACTGTGAATAAGTCTCATGAGATATGATGGTTTTAAAAAGAGGAGCTCCCCTGCACAAGCTCTCTCTCTTTATGCATGCTGCCATCCATGTAAGACATGACTTTCTCCTCCTTGCCTTCCACCATGACCGTGAGGCCTCCCCAGCCATGTGGAATTGTAAGTCCAATTAACCTCTTTCTTTTGTAAATTGCCCAGTCTTCTGTATATCTTTATCAGCAGCATGAAAATGGGCTAATACACAAGATTTCCAAATTCTCCAATTATTCCCGCAGATAACATCACTTTTGTAGAACCTAAGATTGGCCTTTTGAGATGTTTTCTCAGGCTTTGGCATTTCTGACAACCTGATGGTCTTACCCAGATCTGCCAACCAGTCCTGTGGCCCAACCCAGGAACTGACTCAGCACAAGAGGACACCTTTTATTCCCTATGATTTCATCTCTGACCTATTCAATTAGCATCCCCCCACCAAACTATCTTTGAAAAACCCTTAACCTCTGAGCCTTCAGGGGGATTGATTTGAGTAATAACTCCTTCTTCTGCATGGGGTGGCTGGCCTCACATCAATTATAATCTTTCTTTACTGCAATGCTATAGTCTCCATGAATTCATTTTGTTTGTGCAGACGGCAGGAAGAACCCATCAGACTACACTATCATCTCTGAATCTGAGAACATATCAAATTCTCTTTGACAATTTGAACACAGGAAACATCATGATAATATAATGATAGATGTATATAGCTAGATCCAGAGGGAGTAGAGAGATGTCTGCTTTATTAGAGGGAAAGATGTTTTTGTTGTTATGGATTTAAATATCTAATATTTTGTTGTTATAGATTCAAATATCTGATATTGTTACAGTCTCACCAATGCAACACAATGTGGCAGTCTGTCACTGTGTGAGGTGTCACCTGAAATTATTTGTCTCATATCCAGGAAAATTAAGAAACATGGACACAGAGGGTGAGGTTGGATCAAAAATTTAATAAGTGAAAGAAGAAAGCTCTCCAGAGCAGAGAGGGGACCTGAATGGGTTGCCCTTTTTAGAGTTGAATGCAAAGTCTTTTATAACAAACTGTTGTGAACTGGGTGTCTCATTTGCATAAGGTGTGAATTTCTGGTAGCTCCATCCCATCCTACTAATGTGCATGCAGGCACTTAGCTTGAGTTACTCCATATTGCTTTGTTCCCCTTATTGCGCATGTGTCAGAAGATGGAATTTTTCCTTGCGGGTACATCTAGGCAGGTCACCTGTGTAGCCTTTCTTATCTGTGTGTCTGTGGGCATTTCTTAGGCAAGCCCCCATGTGCAAGTTCCCTTCTATGTGTCTGCAGGCTGCTTTTTTGTTTGAAAGAAATCAATTGATG
This sequence comes from Homo sapiens, assembly GCF_000001405.40. Lineage (NCBI taxonomy): Eukaryota > Metazoa > Chordata > Mammalia > Primates > Hominidae > Homo > Homo sapiens. Next base: position 62,648,511 of record NC_000006.12, read on the forward strand.
ACTCACCCTAACTGCCATCCTGACCAGTTTCTTCCTTTTTCCTCTCTCATTTCCCTCATTAGGGGTGGACACCCTAACTGCTGTTAGGGGTAATGGGTCAATGATTCTTCTAACTACTTCCTGGTGGAGAGGGACGTTGTGTAGGGGACCAGCATTTAGGGTTTATCTATGGATCCTTGGAAGAAAGACATCTCCATCTTGAGCTCAATTTCTGGTACCATCTAGAGTTTTATAGCTTCTAAGTGAGAAGAAACAATTTGGGTTATTAGAGGACATGCACTAAAATGGAACAAGGGTGAGGTAAGAAAAGCTCAAAAAACCCAAGGCTGCTGACACACCCAGATAACTAGTGGCTATATTATGACTGCTAAGATTTGAATACATGGGGCTTGGCTTTGGTTAATGTCCTTGGTTTTATTTTCCCCCACAAAGAAACCTCTAGGTTATGGGCACCCTATATACAGACATCCCATACGATTTTGGGGTCATATACTAATATTATTTACTAAAATATAGCCTGAAAAAGATTAAACATCAATTTGGCAATCCCATGTATCTAAATATGTTAAATGATTTTGTTTACCTCTCTTCTGGATATTTCAGGGGCCCTCTGTAGCACACAAAAGCCAGGAGCCAGTAGAGACAATTTTCAAACTGAAATCAGTCTACTACTCCATTACAGAGATAAGAAAGAGTATGCATGGAATACAGAAGATCCTTGAGGGCATCTGTTAGTATTACCACATCCTGTGATTAAGGTCAATGGGAAACTACAACAGCCCATTACAGGCAGGACTACAAATTGTACAGACCCTTCAGGAATGAAGGTTTGGGTCACTCCACCAGGAAAATAACCATGACCTGCTGACGTGCTTGCTGAAGGAAAAGGGAATACAGAATGGGTAGTGAAGAAGGTAGTTACCAATACCAGCTATGACCACATGACCAGCTGCAGAAACAAGGACTGTAATTGTCAAATATTTTCTCCTTCTTTTGTTAAAAACATGTTTGTGCATGTATACACTTGTACTAAGAAAACATCTTCTTTCTGTTTCTTCTTCCTTTGTCATGTGACATAAGATTTATTGACTTCATATCAGCATTTAAGTATGGTTAACTTTATGTAATAGTATTTGGGTAGGGGATTGGTGTATTTCTGGTTCTATGAAGAATAGTTGTATTATGCTAGGTGTAATTATGACCTCATTATTGTCTTTATTTGAAGGTTATGTATGATCCCAGGAAATGTGTATGGGTTCAAGTTGACAAGGGGTGGGCTTGTTATGGTTAATACTGAGTGACAACTTGATTGGATTGAAGGATACAAAGTATTAATCTTGGGTATGTCTGTGTGGGTGTTACCAAAAGAGATTAACGTTTGAGTCAGTGGATTGGGGAAGGCAGATCCACTGTTAATCTGGTGGGCACAATCTAATCAGCTTTCAGTGAATATAAAGCGGCAGAAAAACATGAAAAGGAGAGATGGGCCTAGCATCTCAGTCTACATCTTTCTCCCAGGCTGGATGCTTCCTGCCCTTGAACATCAAGCTCCAAGTTCCTCAGTTTTGGAACTCAGACTAGCTCTTTTTGCTCCGCAGCTTGCAGATGGCCTATTGTGGGACCTTGTGATCATGTAATTTAATACTTAATAAACTCCACTTTATATATATATAAAAAGGTGATATATATATATATATATACACACACAAATATATATGTGTGTGTGTATGCGTATATATATATATATATATATATATATATGTGTATATTAGATCTGTCCCTCTAAGAGAACCCTGACTAATACAATATCCCTTTGAATTCAGTCAATATGTTCACACACAAAATTTCCTTTTTAAGATTAATTTTTACAATCTTTCCATAACTTGCTTAAAGCCTTCAGTTTTATTTAATCAAATTTAATACAATCCTTTATCCCTAGGCAGGATTTACATTTCCATGCCTTTTAATATACCATTATCACAAAAACATTTCACTGTTCTTACACACCTTGCATGTAAATCTCTTTTATAGTCTAATTTATATGTTATAATGGTAACCATCAGCAATTTTAACTTTAATGTAAAACCTGGTAAGTTGTTTTAATTATATACTAGGTGCAGATAAAGTCTGAAATTTTAAGCTTAGTTAGCAGTGTGGTCAATTTCGTACGTCTCTAGGCCTTACCAAGTTGTAAAGCTGGCAGTTTACAACTTTGAAAAATTTAGCAAACCTAGTGTCTGACTTACATGATTTAGATCACCTATTTACATTTTGAGGGCATTTGCATTTTACCAATTATCTTTAAAAATATTTTTATTTCTTAAAGATTAAAGTCACATGAACTATGTCATTATAGCTTTTATTTTTTCTTTAAAAATATTGATTTAAGCTCTCATTTTTCTCTAAGCCAATCAATTACAGCTTTTTTAATAAACATCACACACAACACATATATAACTACAAAGACAAGCAGAAGAAGATCCAGTAGTTATAAGATTTTTCATTTGTCAATTGTCTAATTGGATTATTGGCCTCTGGGTGGGGCCCTTTAAGAGCAGCAGTAGGAAAACATGTAGTATCTAGGGCCTAATAAACAGGTAAAGCTTGAAGACAAAAAACAGATTTTGAGAGGGAGCTATCCACCTCCAATTCCTGGGGTTCCATGAGGAAAATATATGTTTCTCCCAAAATGGAATTTGTGTCACCTTTTCTGCTTCTCCCAAGGAGCCCCAGGCCATCAGAATTATCTTAGGCCTCTCATGCATGCATTAAGTGTGGCTAAACAAAATGGAGAAAAATAATTCAGTCAACCATGAAAAAACCTTTTCCAGAAAAACAAGATCCAAGAAGAGAAAAACATAAAGGCCCTTTAAATATACCTATAACTTGGATATCCACTTTCAATTAAGCTGAGCACTCTTTAAGAAAATTCTTTTAAATATCTTGTTACCTGCTTTTAGCCACACCAAGCGGTTAATATTTCTGGCTTTTGAACTTTAACCATAGTAACCTCACAGGTGAAACCAATAAGCCTCAAATAGGTTATGACTTAACTGTGAGTGTACAAGGTATTTTCAAAGGGGTGGCAAGCAGCTTTTACAAAATCTACAACCTTTAAAGACAACTTAGAGAAAGGAAGATTTAAGAAAGGAAGTTAGAAGTTGTTCATGAAGGGGGAAGAGAATTAGCTGTGTAAAAGTTACACAGCTATTAACTTGAAAGTATTAATTCCCCAAGCCAGGATTGAACCCAAGCTGCCATTGTAAAATGGCAGAGGCTAAAACAAAGTGTTATCATGGGGTTACAGGTCATGCTAAAGGGCATAAAACATGATAGAGGCCTGTAGCAAAGTTTGTTACTGACCAGTTTATAGGGGTGGCTTCAACAGTGGGCTTATTGAGTCCCAGACCTTCATTCCATTCCAAGGTATCCCTCTTCTCTCTGCTTTTTCTTGTATTTCTTCTCATTTTCCTGGACCTCCTCCTTGTCCCTATTATAAAAGACCAAGATGGTTATTCTTAGGAGATTTTCTAAGGTGCCATCTGGTCCTATAGCTTGTTTCTGCAGCTTCTTTCTGATATCAGAGGCCACCTGAGTAAACTTGTCTTTCCAGATTTGCTGTTCCTCAATTGAATTAGGAGATAAGTGTGTTTTACCAAAGCCTCTTTAGCCTTTCTTAAAAGGCTGAGAGATTTTTATCTAACTTTTGATTTATCATGGATAGCTTAGAATAGTTAAGAGGTTTGGCTCTGGGCCTCTGTAAGCCCTCTAATATACACATCAGAAAGTGTTTTCTTTTCCACTAATATATGGGATTACTAGGGTTCTAATTAGGGTTTTCAAGGGTCAATGCCTCTCTTTATACTGGGAATAAGGATCCTACCTCTTTCTCACCTTCTTTCCCATTTTGACTGGCTTTTTTTTACTGGCTATAGGAGACATGCTGTTCATCTCTGAATTTCTCTGCTATATGTAGGGCTGCCTGTTTCTCAACTGCTGTTAAGGCTTGATTTAAGAATAACATAACATCCTTCTAGGAGAATTTAAATACTTGGGTTTAATCCTTGAAAGTCTCTATACATGAGTGAAGATGAGGCTTGCTGAGAGCAAACTTCAGGGTCTGAAGGTTAAAAGAGATCTGGGCTACACTTGAGTGGACTGCAGGCTTGAAGATGGGTTGTTACCCACCTAGAAAAGAGGGGATATGAAGGTGTCTTTTTCCTCCTTTATAGTGATCCAGGGTGGAGAGAAAGATAGAAAGGGCACCCCCCTTTTCCTCTTTTCTCCTGTCTCCTCTGGGTCCCGGCAACCATCATAGGTGCCATCCATGAATGAAAGCATGACCTTCACCCATGATCCTGGAGGGAGCTAGTCTACAGTAATAGTCATGCTTACCTATGCAATACCCTAGATTTCTGCCCTGCTTGTTTCCTAGCCACTTGACCCATAAGGCTCCTAGGGTACCCCAGGGGTCCGGAAGAGATTGTACAATAGTTGGATTTGGGTGAGACCCTCTGATGGAGGGAGAGTTTCTAAACTATCTCTGGCTTCCCTTGCTATTGTTGTAGTGAAACATTGAAATCCCAGAGAATAGGACTGATTGACTTCCAAAAATAAAATCCCCTTTTTGTTTAAATGCCAATTTAGTTGGATAAAGAACAGGGACCCCAAAAGAACATGGGGATTTAATGGCTGTCCTTCCTTTAATGGAGATAACACTGAGGTTAGAATTTGTTTCTCAAGGGGAGCTTCCTCCCAACTGTTGAAAGTGGAGTTTTTCTGCTTACAAATAGGGTATGGGGCCTGATCACTAAGAAGGGGACATAAGAGGGAAAGGAATTGGGGAACTAGAGGTTTGGGGTGAAGGGCCAACAGGCTCTTCATGGGGAAAAATCCGACCTCACTAGGTGTCACTGTAGGATTTGAAATGTTAGGTAAAAATTCAGACTCTAAATTATTGCCAGGCTGAGGTTAGAAAGAAAGATGTGGGCTTGGTGGGCTGTTCTAACAATATGCCTCTTAGTAGGAAAAAATTAACTTGTCTCATAGAGGAACTGCTTAAATTCACTGGGCAGTGATGAGCTCTTACATGGAAAAAAAAAATCAAGTGGAGGAGGGTATTCACTCAAAGTGAAACATCCTTTTACACTGTGCAATGAATGTCTATCACTGGGGGACAAAAAGGCCCTTACTAGGTGAAAGTTTAGACTGAAATCTTGAAATCCCCCTATTTCAAGGAAATCACGGAAGCAGCAATTTTTTGAGTTACATTTCTGGTTTCTAAGGCACTTGCTAACTTTACCCAACAAGATTATCTCCCTGGGCTGTAAAAACACCCACAACATTGCATGCAAAGAAGGGGTATAAAACATGGTAGCCATGAAAAGAAAGAAAGAAAATGTGATAGAAAAGTCTAGAAGTCCTGGCGTCAACATATTGATGAACTGTTGGGGGCTGGAGTTAGTCCAGTGGCCTTCAGGTAACACTGAGGTGTAGCCTTCAGCTAGATGCCTTCAGTTGCCCTAGGACCTCCTTCCAGCCCCACCTGATGGCTAGGTCCTCCATGAAAGGAAACTGGTTTAGAATAGAACTGACATTCCCTCCACATGAGGGCCATGGGGGATTCACAAAGTCCTCTCATGGAAAGGCTGGGAGCCATGCTATTTGTCTTTAACTGGCTGACAGTGGTCCAGTGTTTCAATTTAAAAAATTGAGGGCGAGAAGCCTCAGAAATAAAAGTAAAGGGTTGGAGGTCTGCTCCTACTCACACTTCTGATGTTTCCTTTCCTGGCCAAAGCATCAATATTAAACTTAAAATTTTAAGTGACAAGATTTACTTTTTTGTTACTAATTTAACAAACAGTATTTTTGCTAGTATCTACATTCCAAGAAGCTTTATTCAGCAGTTAGATGCCACCTCGTCTAAGAGTCCACCATATACTCATTACACTGTTCCTGGTTTCTCTTATTTGATGTTTCTACAATATCACATGCATTTCTCTGCACTTGTATTTAACACACATTCTGTTTATGTGTTTTTCCTTTAGATATGATCCCCTTAAGTGCAAGGCCTTTCTCATTTATCTTCAAAACTCTTTCACCAAGCCATAGTGTTTGGTACACATTACATACAAGACAAAACAAGAAATGATTAATTGAATGAATTAATAATACATAGATAGTCTACTGTCTAAAGTAAAGGCAGTATTATTGCTATTAATTTTTACTCATTCTTCTCCTTTCCTTATTGAATCCACTCATGACAATTCTAAGTGAGAATATTTTTAAACCTAAATAAAATATATTTGAATCCTTATCAAAAACTTGTTCATCATAATTTGTTTCCAATGGTGTGCTCATAAATCTTTATGAGCCAGCTCTCCCGAGTAACAAAAATAAAATAAAATATAAAAGACTTGCTGCGTAGCATTTGTCTGATTTCTGTGATGTAGTGCTCCCAATATGGCTGAATTCATGCTACCAACACAATGTCACTGACACAGAGTTTGGAAAAGATATGCACAACTGGGCTTCCTGAGTTAAGAAAAACAGTCTCCAGGACACCCCTTGCTGCTTCTATGCCATGTCCTGCATTACTCATTTCAGTTGGCTTTGCTGAATTGGCTTCCACTACAGATTTTCAGTTGCTCCTTTTAAGGACTGACTTGTACGTGGAGAGGTAATAAATCAAGGACATTAGAGCAGTAGACTTTCAGGTTTTTTTAAAATGTTATTCTTAAATACATTTCTTAAATCCTTAAGATCACCAATAAACCACAAGGAAAATTATATGAGCTCTTTTTCAGAAAGCATATTTAAAACTCATATAAAAGCATGAGAAATACAAGATGGACACATTTGAATCTATTTTGATTTGTGTTGAGGAAGGTTGTATTATAATTAATAATTTCATCATTTTAGGAGGGGGAAAATAGTAGACCATCATCCTTTAAAAATTCTTTATTATTTTATGTTAACAACTTCCTTCTTCATTTTTCAATTAATTTAAGTCTGGCTTGTCTCTGATAGTAAAAACCAGAACTTTAAACATTTGAGGTAAACCACATGTTTACATATTAATGCATTTTAGGTATCTTGGTTTCTGGCTTACAGTTATTAGAATCAAATGTGAAAAGACCAGCTCAGCTTATCGTTAAACACCCTATCAACTGAAGCTTGGAAAAAAATCAAGAGTAATGAGAGTTATTTAACCCATATACTGAGTTCTGGAGATTCACTGGGTTTTTTTTTTTTTTTTTTTACCATAATTTACAAATTCTAAAATATTTTATTAGTAATCAAGTCCTCTGATTAGTTTAAATCATGATAGTGGCAAAAGTACAAGAGAGAAAAGAGAGTTCAGACAGACACTTGAAGATGTTTTCCATATTCTCAAAAAGTTTTTGAAGATATTCTTTAAAACCTTGAAACATAGAAAAGTTTTAATAGTCAAAATTAAGCTCATTAGTGGCAATGGGCTTCTAATTTCATGTGTACAAGTAACTGATAGAATTCAGTGAACAGAATCATTTTCTTCCAAGAGTTCAAAATTGGATATTTTCAAAAACAGAGTATTTCATTAAATTCTGGTATACATGTGAAGTTCAGAAGTCAAACCTCCTCTATCAAAGGAGTAAACAGAAACAAAGATCCTTGAGCATATGTTTCAGTCTGTTCAGGCTGCTACTAAAAAATACCTTAGTGAACCCAGGAGGCGGAGCTTGCAGTGAGCCGAGATCGTGCCACTGCACTCCAGCCTGGGTGACAGAGAGAGACTCCGTCTCAAAAAAAAAAAAAAAAAAGAAAAAAGAAAAAAGAAAAAAATACCTTAGACTGGGTAGCTTATAAACAATAGAAATGTATTGCTGACAGTTTCTGGAGACAGGAACATCCAAGACCAAATTGTCAGCCGATTTGTTATCTGTTGAGGGCCTTCTGCTTAAAAGATGGTGCCTTCTAGCTGCATCTTCACGTGGGAGAAGAGATAAATAAGCTTCCTCAGGCCTCTTTATGGGGGTACTAATCCTATTCATAAGGGCAGAGCTCTCATGAACCAATCATCTCCTAAAGGTTCCAATTCTTAACACTATTGTATTGAAGATTATATTCCAAAATATGAATTGTGGGGAATACACAAACATTCAGACCATAGCGGCATGGAATATCACAGTTCTAATTCCAAAGGCAGGCTGCTATGGCTTTCAAATTGTGCATACATTAAAATGAAACATTATGTTTTTTAATCTATTTGTATCAGATTATACAAAATAATAAGTTTTTAATATCAAGTGAAATGTAAACAATAATCAGAACATCCTGAGGCCCTTAAATGCAAGCCAACAGCCATGTTTACTTTTGTAGGATGACAAATCATCAGGAGAGATTAATTATATCAATACATCTGTTTATCAAACTTTATTGAGGCAGAACATTGTGTAACATATTTATGCAATTGTATAGCCATATATAAATTTATATGAATATGTATATATAAATGATGTAAGGAAAAATTCACTGGAAATTATTTTTTATCACATGATAAATATCACTCATTTTTATTTTATTTATTAAAACATATTTAAACAGTTCTAGGGTTTGCCAATTTGCACCAGTTGAAATACTAAAAGCATATATTTCATTTGCCTCACTTTCAAGACCAAAATTATTTCTTCATAATGTTGCTGTGCCATATAAGTGGTGGTTAACATGTGGAAACCTTTTGAATCACTTGTTTTAATGCGAATCTGGTTTTTAATTAATTGTAAAAGATTATCTGGCTTTTTTTAATCCTAATGTGTCTAGACTTTAGCATTCCTTATTAAGCATTCCCAAACTTGTACATATAATTGGTTAACTAAATGACAGTGTGTTCAGTTAAAATGATACAGAGCTGTTTTAATACATTTTAGGTAATAAACATAACAGAACTAAGGGGAAAAGTTGCTGAAAGTTATTGGGCAAAAATTTACCAATCAAATTTTTTCCTAAATAAATAATGTGTGTATTGCTGCTTTGCAAAACTAATGCACCTTCTGAATTATGAAATATATAATTTTACTGAGAGAAAAATGAATAGCTGATAACACTGCTAAGGTTTATTGACTGATTTTCATGTGCCAAGATGCACTTTGCTAAGCACTTTACATGAATTATAATATCTTGGGTAGTTCTCTCAAAAACTTTTACAAAATAGGTATTGATATTATTTATAATTACATTTTAAGAATTTGAAGCACCAGAGGAGTTAAGTAACTTGTCAGAAGTCATAAAGCTGGAAAAGTCTTGGGTGATAAATAAAACCCAGGTCTGAGATTTCAAAAATCTAGGTTCCAGAACAACACTGCTCCTCAGTGATATTTTAGTCACAATTTAAGCATACATCTTTAAATGCTAAAGTTTAGGGGTCAGCAAACTGGCCTATGCTTCAAATACAGCCTGTTGCTTGTTTTGGAAGTTAACACTTCATGGAAACACAGTTCCACCTATTGGTTTACATGTGCCTAAGGTTGTTTCATTACAACATAGTTGAGTAATTGTACCTGAGACCACATGGCTCACAAAGCCTAAATATTCACTATTTGATCCTTTACAAGAACAGTTTGCTGATCTGTGCTTTAGACTTTTAATTTGAAATTTGAAATCCATGTCATGTTCTCAGATATTTACTACACTTTCTGTTTCTATCAATTTGGAAATATTTAATATGGTTGGAGTAATAATTACATATTTAACAAATACATCAAAATTATTTGATAGAAGCCTAAGTCCTAAATCTTGCTCTAAAGAGAAACAAATGACAAATGTAAGTTGTCACCACTTATCACAAAATTAGGATCTTTTTCTATAAATTCTATTGTAAAAATTGCAGTTTCATATAAATGAATTATGTATTGTTATTATGGTTCAACCTAAGAATTTTTCTAGCCTAAAAGTATGCATATTACGACCAAAACATAGTTAGTAAATGCCATAAAATAACATATAACTCTAATGAAATCAAAATATAAAATATCATTAGCTTTGTTAAAAGAGTATAAAATAAACTGTTAACATGGACAAATTATATTAACTTAGTTACTTAATTATTAGAAATAATATGAGAAATAGCATTAGTTACTTGAGAAATAGTGGGCCATCTATTATGTTTATTACAAAAGATGCAGCTTTCCAATCATTTTGCGTATTTATATATTCAAAATTAAATATATGTTTCTCAGCAGATTCCTTTGCAATAGGTGTCATAGAGACATTTAAACACAATGCAATCTAAAGGACTATGTCCCAGAAAGTAGCTGGGGGCCTGGTCCCATTTTATACCATGGCTTTTTTTTTGGTGAATTCATCATAATCTAAGTACCTGGTCATTCCATTTCTAAAGCTGATTTGATATTCCACTGGTATGTGCCTTCCTTACGATTAGCACACATTCATAGAAATGTATGCATGAAATTATATTGTTATTTTATTTATGCTTAGTAAAGAAATAATTGCTGAATGGATGAGGTTCTGATTCATCTTCTCTAATAGTTTACAAAACTATACTGTGGCATTACAATCTCCTGTAGCAGATCTTCATAGTACAGACCACGTTGTTTTCCATTCCTGTTGGACATGTGGTATCCTTTTATTCATTTTTTTCAAGGGCTTATACAAATATTAAAGTTACTTGAGGGCACATTTGAGGTGGCTTGATTCCTCCAAGCAACTATATTAGAAGGTTAGACCTTTAACAGATCTCCTCTCATAACACAATTCCACATAATTCTTCACATTATGTAAAAGAGGGAAGGAAAATACTTGTTAGCATGTTTCCTTTAAGATGACTGACTAGAAGAATGTATTTTAAAAGATTAATAAATAATAGAGTCTTCCTAGGTTCTACCACACTCTGACCAGCGGAGTGATTTTGAAGTGATAAGCAAAGAGGGACACAGTTTACCCTTCCCTTTAACCAAACTTATCTAATGGTATCCATCTCTTCTTACCACTTGAAGATATCCCCCTACTCAAATAGTAAAATAGGTTGGCTAAACAGAACCAAGAACCATTATTATTATTATTATTATTATTATTTTCTGAGACGAAGTCTTGCTCTGTTGCCCAGGCTGGAGTGCAGTGATGTGACCTCGGCTCCTGCAACCTCCACCTCCCAGGTTCCAGCTATTCTCCTGCCTCAGCCTCCTGAGTAGCTGGGACTACAGGCACCCGCCACCATGCCTGGATAACTTTTGTATTTTTAGTAGAGATGGGGTTTCGCCATGTTGATCAGCCTGGTCTTGAAATCCTGACCTCAAGCAATCCACCCCCCTTGGCCTCCCAAAGTGCTGGGATTACAGGCCACTGCACCCGGCCCCGAGAACCATTTTAATTTAGGAAGAATAAGTTTTCCTCTAGACAGACTGAATTTTAGATCCCATTATCGTTTAATTTAAGTTTCTTAGGTGCAATTCTGTGATTTCTGCATTTAGTACCTTAATATTCACACCATCAATCACTTATGAACCCTATACACTCTGCATCTACCTCACTATTTTACTGATTTAAGATATCACTGTCATCCAGGCGCGTTGGCTCATGCCTGTAATTCCAGCACTTTGAGAGGCCAAGGCAGGTGGATCACCTGAGGTCAGGCGTTTGAGACCAGCCTGGCCAACATGGCAAAACTCCACTTCTACTAAAAATACAAAAATTAGTTGGGTGTGGTGGTGGGCGCCTATAGTCCCAGCTACTCGGGAGGCTGAGGCAGGAGAATCACTTGAACCTGGGAGGCAGAGATTGCAGTGAGCGGAGATGGGGTCATTGCACTCTAGCCAGGGTGACAAGAGAGAGACTCCATCTCAAAAAAAAAAAAAAAAAGAAAGAAAAAATCACTGTCAAATCTAAAAGCTACTTCTTAGTCATCATTCAACTTGATTTATCAGTATTTAATATTTTAATCATTTTTTAAAAACTTTGATTTTTCCTGGTTTCCCTGTTTTCCTAATTTTACTAATTCTTATCTCTTTCTTCATTCTTATTTCTTTGTCTTTCTAAGTAAAATTTGTATATTAATTCTACATTTCTCTTAAATAGTCATCCTCCCTGTTATGCATATATCAGAGAATTGAACTTTTTTGTCCTGCGTGTTGTGTTTTTGTGTTGAGCTTGTGAAATATAGGAATCAGATGAGGAACTTCCTCATCTCACTCTTCCTGGCAATTAACAGGTAAGGTGCTGAAGGCAAACAAAGTAAAATTCTCTGGATCCCAACTGAACACCCACATTATAGCACCTTTGGCACAAGCAATAGACTAGTCTTGCTTTCATGAATGGTGGGTATGTAACATAATATGACTCAGCTCCAAAGACCTCCTAATCACTCACGGTGATCCTTCACTATATCTACTTACCCAAATATTCTAAGAAAATGATCTTCTTTACTGTGGCCCAACTTCCCTAAGGTTGTCTGGTTTCTCATCTCCCTAGTCATCTGTAGATAGCATTGAAATGAGAGTTGCATGACCCTTCGCAGGACCTGCAACAGGGGTGTGGCTCATCTGTTGGGCCACTGCACCTTCTCACACCATTTACCGGAGGGGAAGCATCCAGACGGGCAGGTACAGGAGCCGGGGCCAGTACCTTGGGGCTCTGGCCCCATGGTAGTGTCTAGGGGTGGGTGCTGTGACTTACAAAGCCCAAGTGGGTGTGCGTTACAGTGCACTCTTTTAGCTTTGCCATCTGCAGATGGCTTAAGTGTTAACCAGCTCAGTGTCCTCTTGGTACCCAAATCCTCGTCTTGCATCCAGGAAGAATCGGGTTGCACATGGACTTCAAGGATGAAAGCAGGGTTTTTATTAAGTGGTGGAGGTGGCTCTCAACAGAATGGATGGAGAGCTGGAAGTGGGATGGAGTGGGAAGACGATCTTCCCCTGGAATTTGGCCGTCCAGTGTCTGATCTCCTCTCCAATTGCCCCAGCTGAACTCTCTGAGTTCAGACATTCCTCTTCTCTCCTTCTCTGCTGCACCATTCTGCCATTCTTCTGCTCCTCTGGTCATTTCCTGGTCTGCCTCTGGAGCCTGGGGTCTGGGGCCTACATGGGTACAGGTTAGAGGGGCATAGCAGGCCAAAAGAGTGTGAAAACAGGCATGCCTGTTCCCATATAGGGCTGTGGTTTCCAGGCTTGAGGATGGGGCCTTTGCCAGGGAACCGCCCTCTTCTACCCAGTATTTCCATGTCTCCTGTCTGTATCAGCATCTCCTGATTTCTTCCCATGTTCAGGAACACAAGCTCTCCTTTCTATAAGAGCAGAAAATACTTATATCATCTTCCTAGAATTTTGTTCTATTCTTTCTGAAGTAAAAGAAGGGAAAAATGAAACAAAATTGTGTTTTCCTATCCCAATATTTTAGATGTTTATACTTCTTACCAGATCACATTTACTTTTATATCAAACTAGTGAAGTAGGTATTTTTTCCCTACTTTACATCATAGGACATCTAAGTAACGTGTTTAATGTTACACAGCTATTAAAGATTGAGCAAATGAAGTTCAGATGTGACTTATTGCTAATTATATACTTGTAGACATTACTGATTGTAACCATATATTTTGACAAATAAACAGTATGGAGGCATAAGACATGAAATAATAAATGTTACAGGAAAGATTGTTTTTGTTTTGTTTTTTAATATACAGAATTGACTTCTCTAGCATGATGAGACCACGCTTGTGCTCTCGATGAGGAAAAAAAAAATAGGCACAATGCAGTGTCACTTGGGTAGCTGTTACTTATATAGATGTGGTGGACACTTCATAGAAATGATTTTGAGTCAGTGTTGACTCACAGCATTAAAAAAAATTTATGCAATACCTAATTATTTTAATCTGATCCTTTAAAATAGCTTGAAGGATGTTATTTCCATAAAGCGAAATTCACTTTTAAACTGACAATAAGCATGAATCATTTCATTTCACCAGTTAGTTTAGTAACAAGCTACTGAAAATAGAAGCTTTGAAGTAGTCTTTCAATCATTTCTGTCTGAGTAGATGTATTCTTTTTTTTTTTCTTTTTTTTTTGAGACAGAGTCTCCCACTGTTGCCCAGGCTGGAGTGCAGTGGCACGACCTTGGCTCACTGCAATCTCCACCTCCCAGGTTCAAGCGATTCTCCTGCCTCAGCTTCCCAAGTAGCTGGGACTACAGGTGTGTGCTACCACGCCCGGCTAATTTTTTGTATTTTTAGTAGAGACGGGGTTTCATTGTATTAGCCAGGATGGTCTTGATCTCCTGACCTGGTGATCTGCCCGCCTCAGCCTCCCAAAGTGCTGGGATTACAGACGTGAGTCACTGTGCCTGGCTGATGCATTCTAAAACGAATGAGCAATCATAAGTCCTGGTGTAAATTGCTGCAAAATGAACAAATGAGTAAACAGCAAATGCAGAATCACCCTTTTTTTTCTGTGAGATCCTTTTCAACAAGACAGTGACTCAAGAATCTGCCTGCTTAAAAATTCACCAGAACTACTTGAGGAAATAAGTAGCAATTTTCCTCCCTTAATCTAATCAACTGGATTTTTATTTATGGTTTGCAAGCCATGTTTCAAATGCATGGTCTTTGTACTACATTTTTAAAAGTTATCTGGAAGCCTTCTATCCAATTATGATACATTCTTTTTTTCTTTAAGGATGTAGCTATGAATAAAACATTTTAGCTTTTTCCTTTGGCTGATGTCAGAAAAGCATTCACAAAAGAGATGACAGCAAAACAGAATTTTGAAAGATGAATTGCAGTCAAATACAATTTTCACTGTAAGGTGGGTGTGACTTGGGAAATAGATGTTTTCAGGAATAACGTAATCAGTTAACCCAAGATCCTCCCCACAGCCACCATTCAAAAGGACTTGCTGGCAGTGTGCAAGCCTGATTCTACATCAGCCACTAGGCAGAGCTAATCAATATCTCCTAACCTCTATTTACAGAGTAGCTGAGTGTTTAATAGGCTTTGGAGGGAAAGAGAGAATATGAGAGAAGGAATCAGGAGTTTTTGAGTTAAGTATCAAAACACAGTAAAACTGATTTTATATGCTATTTTTCTCATCAAGAATCTCTATTAATTAGCTTTTTAATGTTTTTCAAAGAATCAATTTATGTTCCTATCAACCTGGAGGCACTTTAAAATACATGTAATGTCAGAGTCATTAAAAAGAAACTAAACAATGTTCTGTAGAGATTTAACATTAATATGTCTCATTAAATTTTAATAGCCTAAGAACAACTAATCTACTTTTGATAAAATCTATTTTAGTGTACACAGGGAGAAAACTTCAGTTGTGAGTCTGAGGACTGCTCAAGACCACTTGTCACTCACTGACCAAGTCACAGTTCTTCTGATCCTCAAGTTACTTATTTGTAACATAAAGGGCTTACTTTACCTATTTGTTAAGTAACTGCTCCATCTTAAAAGAAAAAAAAAAAACCCTACAAGTTTCTAAAATTACTTTATAGCAATAAAATTTTGCAAAATTACTCCATAAAGTACTGTTTATCAGGACTAGTATTCTCTCTATCATAACTTACTGTTAGGAATTAATGCTGCCCAAACAAAGCTGATCTGTAGAATTAACTAGATTATATAAACTACTCTATAAATTTAGTGTGATTTCAGTAAAAATTTGTGTAAGGTTTATGAAATTATGCGAAATGCTGATCATAAATTTCATAAAGAGTAAAAGACCAAGAAAAGTGAAGACAATTTTGAGTAACAGCTAATTATTGAGTACTGACTATTTGTTAGCCATAATGCTTTACATAAATGAGCACATTTAACTTTTGAATGAATACTATGATATAAAAATCATTAAAACCTTCATTGTGCACAAGAAGAAACTGAGAGTTTAAGTAACTTGCCACTGTCATACTGTGAACAGAGGATAGAATTGGGATTTGAATTTGGCTATGCTAGCTGTAAATATTATATATACACCAATATATTATACTGCCCATATACTACAGAAAAGCAGACTTTACTTACCAAATAAGTTGAAATTAATATATTATAATTTTGGCACAGGAAAAGGCAAATAGAGAAATGGATGTAAAGAGATAGCTCAGAAGCAGATCTGTATTGATATAGCAGTTCAGAATATACCAAAGGTGATGGTCTTACAACCACTTACTGAAGAAGTGACAGATTATTCAATATATAATCCCCTAAACATTGCCTATTCAAATGAAAAAAAAAACATAAATGAGTACTTTAGCTTATATGGAAAAATATAACTCAGAATAAATAAATATCTAATTTAAAAGAATAGCTATAGACCTCAGAGCAAAAAGCATTTCTTCAGTAATACACCCACGCCAACAACAACAAATAAAAAGTATGATTCATTTTACCACATTGATGCTTAATATAGCTGTATAACAAACTGTATATATATATATACTATATATAGTTAAACCATAAATGATACACTGCAAAATTATATTTGCATTGCCTGTAACTAACCAAGATTTAGTGTCTGAATGCATAAAATGTTGCTATGTCATAACAAAAACAATTAATAAAATAAATCAAGAATTTGGACAAATCACAGAAGGAAAATCTTAATTGCTAATAAACATTTTACAAACTCAGTATTCCTAGAAATTAAGGAAGTGTTTATTAAAGCAATGAGATATAATTTCATATCTATAAAATTGACAAAAATGCAAATAAACATGTATATAATAGTACTTAATGGGCATGGACTTGGAGAAGCAGAACCTTGCCAACACTACCAATAGGCATGTGTACAAGAATAACCACTTTCAAGAACAATTTAGCAGTGTCCGCCAGAGATAGGCAACCACATACACTAAGAATTAGCAATTCTTTGTGCATAAATAGCAAGTGAATAATTATTTTAATATTAAAAAATGAAACAACTTACATTTTGAGTAATAGAGAAATGAATTAAGTCAATTACACTATATTTTTCTAATATCCAGAAAATTACATAATATGAAGTTATTAAAACACTATATCTATAGTATTAACATAGATAAATCTTGAAAAAATAACAGAGTAAAAGCAAATTAAAAAGGAATATGTATAGCATAATGTCATTAACATAAATATGAGAAACATACTAATTAATGCTGTGTTTATGAATATGAGATTACAGATATAAATTTGGACATACATGATAAAAAGAGGGCCTTCAATTTTATTCTAGTATTTTAGTTCTTTTTAGAATAATTTACTTTCTTTTTAAAAATTAATATTGTAAAAGACCAAACCATGTGTTAAATGTGGGTGGTGGACACAGAGTGTCTACTATGGTATACCTTTGCTGTATCTTTTAAATATTTCACAATTTAAGCAAATTAAAATTTAAATAACTTTAAGTTAAATGGAAGTAATGTAAATTTTACAGTTTTTGCTTTTCTCTGGTCTATGTGGAAGACTGAAAACAAACTTTTTTTTTAATAGCACCATCATTACCTAGAGCATAAGATTTGATTTTCACAAAGATATTTTGAAATTTACACATCGAAAATTGAAAAATTCAATGTGCCTTCAAAATCTGTAGAATAGAGTATTATGTCTAAGTACATTTCTTGACTTGGAAATGCAATGTAAAATAAAAGGGTAAAGACATATAATTATCAAGTAGATTTTAACATTTTTTAAAATGCCACATTCTTATTTATATATTTTAAAGTATATACACTTTGATTTTTTATTTAAAAATGCAATGCCAATATGTTGGCTTAAAAATTGCAACCTCAGAGATGTGATCTTATTTGGCAAAAATTGCAGTGAGTGGGACCTCAGAGATGTGATCTTATTTGGCCAAAGGGCCTTTGCAGATGTTATTGTTAAGACGAGGTCACACTCATCTTATGATTAATTTAATCCATTTATGGATTAAAGTTGGCCATAAATCCAATGAGTGGTATCCTTGTAAGAACAAGAGAAGGCCTGGTGCGGTGGCTCACACCTGTAATCCCAGCACTTTAGGAGGCCGAGGTGGGCTGATCACAACGTCAGAAGATCAAGAACATCTTGGCCAACATGGTGAAACCCCATCTCTACTAAAAATACAAAAAAAATTAGCCGAGCGTGGTGGCATGCACCGGTAGTCCCACCTACCCTGGAAGTTGAAGCAGGAGAATCGATTGAACCTGGGAGGTGGAGATTGCAGTGAGCCGAGATCGCTCCACTGCACTCCAGCCTGGGTGACAAGAGCGAAACTACGTCTCATTAAAAAAAAAAAAAAGAAAGAAAATTAGAACAGGATTAGACACAGAGAGACACAGAAAGAAGAAGGCCTATGTGATGACACAGGTAGAGATGGAGTGATGAAGTTATAAACCAACAAATTCCAAGGATTTCCAGGAACCACCAAAAGCTAGGAGGGTGGTGTGGAAAAGATTCTCCTCAGAGCCTCCTGAAGAAATCAACTCTGCTGACATCTTGATTTTGGACTTTTGGCCTCTTGAACTGTGAAAAAATAAATTTCCATTGTTTTTAAGCCATAACTAATACAAATATCATTGCCTAATAAAATAAACTGGAGTTGCATGGAAAAATAACTTATTCTAGGACTGATGCACAGACAATATAAGCCTAGAGTATCATCTTGTAGTGAAACACACACACACACACACACACACACACACACACAAGAAGCAGAGATGGGGTCATGTCAAAGTGACTCAGAAGCCAATATGAGGAGGTTCCTAATAGCAAAAGTTGGAATAACTTAAATAATAAATAATGATAATATTAGATTAAAATGCAAAAACAAAATAAATCTCCATGAAGCCATACTAATATAAATTATTAAAAAATTGTGAATAAATTAAAAATAGGAGAGAAGAAAGAAATCTTTCTCATGAAGAATTTCAGTTAATCTATGTAGAATTAATTGCATTAGCTAAGTTCCATTGATGAATGCTAAAATTAGCAGGTAAAGATTAAAGAGAACAAGATCTTTGCATAGCCCCAAAGTTCCTCCCACAAATTTATTAAGTATAGTGTGGTTTTACTGTATGTCCACAAGGTATTTGATATCGTTTCTTCCAGGAAGTATAGCTGAATTCTCATTTACTTTAGTTCGGGCTGGACTTAGTGACTTATTTCTAGTACATGGAGCACAAAAATAGAAAAATAGAAACTTTAGAGTAGGAAAATCTGACAAACACCCACCTTAACCAGTGGCCAGTGTAAACCTCACCATGGATAAGTCTTGTTGATATCACATTATCCCAATATGATGCAATGAGAAGGGTACATAACAACTGAGATATTCCTCCCCCAAATTCAAAACCTTCATCGATTTATTAGAAAATATCAGACATATCCAAACTGAGGGACATTTAACTAGTATCTGTAAAAGTGTCAAGGTCATGAAAGGCAAAGACTAAAAAATTGTCATACATTGAAAGAGACTAAAGAGAGAGGGCAACTAAATGCAACGTGGTATCCTGGATTAGATACTGAAATGGAAAAAAGGCATTAGTTAAAATGGTGAAATCCAATCCAAGTTGAAGTTTGAATTAATAATCTTATAATTACATTAATTTCTCAGTTTTGATAAATATATTATAGCAATGTAGGATATTAAAATTAAAGGAATTTGAGTGAAGAGTATGTAGAAATTCTCTACTATTTTTGTACCTCTCCTATAGATTTTAAATTACTTCAAAATAAGAAGTTTAAAATGTGTTTTACTGAAACTTTGATATATAATTAATTTCAGACATTAAAAAGCTCAAACACTCATCATCTTAATTACCTGTGTGGTTAATTGAAAACTTAGTCAAGTAAATAATTTGTTCAAGGTTATAGAGCATATTATCAATAGAGGAAAAAATTTACTAAATATTACAGGCCTATTTCTAAAAAAGTAAAGAATATTTTCTTTGAAAAATAAACTAGAGTGTCTAAAAATGCATATGTGGTAACACTTCAGAAAGTCTCATCCAAAATGAGTTTGCAAGTTTTTAATAGTTTCCAAAGGATCCTGGATGTCATATTCAACCTAGAGTGCTATTAAAAATTCAGGATAGTTTAATTCGAGACTTTAAAAAGTGTTGTTAAATTTTATATTTCTCTACAATAGAGCATAGAAGATTTATGAATAATTTCAAAGGATATGGCCCTTAGAATTGAGTGAATGAATTCATACTGAAATGTTTGATCAAAGTGAGAGAAATGACTAACTACTCATTCAGTTGCTAAAGTTCTCAAAAAGGTTTAGAATGGTCTGTAAATTATTCAAAATGTATTTAGGTAGCCCAGTGCTTATGGAATACTTTGAAAAAATATTTCATTTAGAAATAATTCTACCTTTATATCATAATATTTTTTCTTTTTAAAACATTTTTACAATAAATTTTCTCAGAGTCTTAATGTCTAGTTACTGTATTTTGGATGAAAGAAACAACCAAATTAGAAATTTAGTGATTGATTTTCAATAAGGAAACTGAACTCTAACAATATGAATATGTCAAGTAATAGCTAGGATTATCAAAACTTATTCTGCATACAGAAATGACTGAAAATGTTTATTTGCAAATTATCTTTTCTACAATTTATTTGGGAAAAAATAGTCAAAAGTTACAATTATGTTTCAGTGAACAAGGACTAATTCTAGGCTATGACCAATTTTAGCTCCATACTCATTCACAGAATTTTATGATTTCTTCTAACTCTTGGCTCTCTATATATTTTGATAGGTGATTTTTTTCTATCTGTGATTTGTCACTGAAAGTGACTGTTTGTGATATAAAGTATGCTGCTAACTTACCAGTTTTCACTTTT
Organism: Homo sapiens; assembly: GCF_000001405.40. Lineage (NCBI taxonomy): Eukaryota > Metazoa > Chordata > Mammalia > Primates > Hominidae > Homo > Homo sapiens. The sequence goes on from NC_000006.12 coordinate 62,669,302, forward strand.
CCTTCTCATGCCCTCCAAATACACCCAATCAAGTACTTTTATAATGGAGTCCTCAAGTGGTTTCCAACACACAGTATCTAACTTGTAAGAGCTGTGTAAAAATGCCTATTAAATGAAGAAAAATGAGCATGAGTTTTTATCCTACTTTCTGAAAAACTTATGTGGACATAAAGAGAATATTTCTTTACTTTGAAGTGCTGCTAGTTTTTCCTTACAATGCTCTGATATTCTCTTTATATATACTTTGTTTTGATTGATTGAAATGGGCATCTTAGTTTTTTACTCTGAGACGTTTTTAATACTGTTCATTTTCTAGTAAGATGAAACTCTCTGTGTTATTATTGATTTATCTCTATAGAGGCTGTAAGCTTTAGTTTTGTATATTTTCTGTTTAAATCTTTTCCATTTATTGAGAAGGGACTAAGGCCAATTACTATACAATTAGAGATTGTAAACCAAAATGCCTACAAGAGCCAGGCTGAAAACATAAGTGCAACAGCAGGAGTTTCTTCTGGTATGTCCCCTCCTACATGCAGCAACACTGCTTAGCTATAGCTGAGTGTTGCCATGAAGGAAGGCATTCCTAACATTGGCAGATGTTCCAGTTTATCAGGTTGTGCCAGAAATCAGTATTTTTCTTCAAAATCTCCTGATTCTTCAGTGCTAACTTAATGTTTCTTTTAAGTGACTCAAGCCAAACTATAGCACATTTGTAGTTTAAAATTGGCTGATCAGCAATTTGGGCCCATCAATAATTTATGATTTTATTTATAGCAATTCTTTACTAATACATAGGGAGTTGAAGCTGAGGACTTCCCCTCCCTTTCAAGTCTTTTTAAAAAGTCAAATAAAAAGAAATTTGTTAAGGACTAATACATGTTGGAGGAAACATTTCTAAAAATCTAAGGATAGATGAAACCTACTGCAATATTTTTCAATTCTGTTTTGAGAACCTTAGAGTTCTGAGAGATGTTAATAGATGTTAAACAATGTAGATTCTGAAGCATAGGTGTGTGGAAATTTTTTAGTTAAACATGGCTTTTTACTGTATATTTAGAACCTTCTAGAATCTTTAATATTCCAATATTAGAATATTTTTCCTGAATTCGCAAGGGTCATTTGAATTAAAATATCATCTAAAAAATGTTTCATTTCACTTTATATAAGTACAACCAATTATAGTGAGAATAACAGATAAAGGAGAAAATTTTCTCATACACCTGTCAGAAAATAGAATTTTAAAAACAAGGCCAATAATATTGCAAAAAGAAAAATCACACAAGTTTTCCCACACTAATTTTATGTTTTCTATATAATTGATTCTTGTTTGATTGATCTTAGGTTAGTAGTATACTGTTTTGAAGACATCATCTGGACTAAGAGTTATGAAAATGCTGACTCAGTGCCTCAGAACAGACTAACAGGTGGGTGCTCATGGCAGTGCCATCTTCCACTGGGAATCCTGTTCTTATAAGATGGTATGTGAAGTATCAATTGTCAAGAGCACATGGCACAGTCCTTTACTGTGGGTATCATTCTTCAAAACTAAATAGTTCTGGTTAATTTATTATAGTAATGAACAATATAAGAATGGAGGATTATAAAATCCTGTTTGGGGATATTATAATAATAAACTATTTAACATATTTTTAGTTAGTGATTACTCTGAAGGCAATAACATATTACGGATAGTGATGACATCAACAAATTTTTAATGCCTTCTGACTCATCCAGTAAACTGTGTTTCACAAATGCCATCAATCAACAAAGGTATTGTTAAACCATGAAACAATATATTCTATAATATCAACTTAATGACAATTATTATGACAATCTTTGCACATGAACGTGTGTATGCATCCATTCATCCTGAAAAATACATTGAAACATATTCATGTGAATAACATTTTATATTTACAAAATAGACCTAGGGAACGTTTAGCTCCTTTATTTGATTTGACAGATGTATCAGTCAGGGTTCTTGAAACAAACAGAACCAATAAGATAGATAGATAGATAGGAAAGAAGATATTTATTATGAGGGATTGTGACATGATAACAGAGGAGAGGCTGAAAAGTCCCACAATTTACCACCTGCAAGGTGAATGCCCAAGAATGCAGGTGGCATAGAGCCAATCCAAGCCCAGAGGCCTGAGAACAAGGGTAGCCATTGGTGTAATTTCCAGTCCAAGTCCGAAGGCCCAAGACCCAGAAGCATTGATGTCTGAAGGCAAAAGAAGTTGGATGTCTCAGCTCCACAAGAGAGCACTTTCACCCTTCCTCCACTTTTTTTTCTATTCAGGACCTCAATGGATTGAACAATGCCCATCGACATTTGGGGAGAGTGATCATCTTTACTCAGTCTACCAGTTCAAATACTGATCTCTTCCAGAAACCCCCTCACAGACAAGCACCCAGAAATAATGATGTTTTATTAGCTATCTGGGCATCCTTGGGGAAAGAGATGCCCATCTGGTTAAATCAAATAACCATTACAGCAGACTTCCCATATTGTGGCTAAATGAAAAGACAGCTCATAACAGTAGTGAACTAATAAAAATGGGAAATACCAAACATATCTTGTTACATATAGCCTCCATTACTTTCAAAGCTGAGAGAGTAAAACTTGGTGCTATCCGATGGCCAAAAGGTAATCTCCAAAAAATTGTATGTAAAAAAAAATCAGTCAGATTATTCTGAATTTGAGGCCTGACAGCCCATGTTATGTACAGCTATGAATGTAAGTCATAAATATCCACAGCACAACAAGAAATGACTCCAGTCCTTGTTTAGCATGAGAATATTCAAAATAAACACAGTAGCAAGTAATAATGTTTAAGAATTCTAGCTATTTTCAAAAGCATGAAACTTTTGTTAACAATAACAAAACCAAAAAGGTTAATAGTCTGTTGGGAAGTAAGAGCGCCCTGATGATAAAAAGAATATGTACTATCTGGATAAATAAGTAGGCCTGGGGTGCCTTTCTGCCACTGCCTGCTAACACCAGACAGAGACCAGTTGTCTTCCAAACTATTGGGTTTTTCTTTTTATCATTCATAAACTTTGTTGAATAATAATAGCCTATATTTATGTTTGTGTTTAAATGTACATGCAACACATAAGTGCAAATATGCAAATCTTGTCAGCATAAATATTTCTACCACATTAAAGCTAGTGTTTTCTTAGTTGACAATAGTTTTACAAATAGCAAAAATATTTTGTAAAACATGGATATATGAGTCAAAACCATGCTTGGTGACCTAGATTTTTCTCAATCTCTTTTTTTTCTTTCCTAATTTAAGTGTCTTAATTCTCATGCATTAACTCAATCTTTTATTAGTCCAAGGTCTTAAAGTTAATTAATTATAGTAACATTATAAGTTAAAACTATCAAACAAGAAAATTACTGTATAGATCAAAAATTTTTTGAAAAAATGACATTTAAATTTTTACCCAGTTAGTGAAAGCAGAAAAAGACTTGAGGTGAACATTGTCTGAGATTTACAAGAACAAATACTTTTTTAAAAATCTTATTGTAATTCAATCTATTTAAACAAATATGTGTACATTCCCATGAATTTAAGTAGTTTGATCATTTACAGGATTTATAAAAGCAGTGAGGAAAATTTAGGAAGTTCAAGGAAATGAAAAACAAAAAAAGAGAAACACAAACCAAACATAAAAGAAGATGTGGCATTTGCATGATATTTTAAACAGTGGTAAGATCAAAGATCACAGAGAAAACATACAGCTATTTTTACAAAAAATTATTAAACTGATTCATATTGTTTAAGGATTTTCCTTAATTGGGAATGGTATATGAACTTGAATTTGTATAATTATTTTTTCATTTATTTTACAATATATTAAAATGTTTATTTTATTTGTGGCATTTTATGACTATTAGTTGCTATGTTTTTTATTTTTTATTGTTTATTTCTTAAGTAATAATCAGCCACTGTTATCACAGTTCAGTTTTTCTAAGCTAGCAGCTTCTGTGACAGAATTTTTTCTTTTTAAAAAGCAGATATTTTTCTTCTGTCTCTAAGACATTCTCTAAAATATATTTCTTTTGCTCCCTTATCTTAGATATATATGAATACCTATTTTTACAAGAGAGTTTTTTAAAATATGAGTGATTACATTAATATATTAATCTATTGCAGAAATAGACAAGTATACATAAATCTTTTTTGCTCAATGAATACTTCATATTCTACAACAGAAGAATAATATCAAACTCTTTGGCAGGTTAGAGGTAGCCTTTTTCTGAAGATTATAACTCCTCTTCTCAAGGGCTGAGAACTGGGGAAGGAATCTTAGTCCGCTTAAATGGCTGAAGGAAAGAGTTGATGGACAAAACATACTTATCTTTGTTTTATATGCGCTGTTTTCTGTAGCCCTGTCAGACCATGGGTCAAACTATGGCTTCAAATCTAAAATGTAATACTGTGTTATCAAAACATAAATCTTTTAATCATATCTTGACTTAACCCATTTGTATATTTCTGTGGAAGTCACCTACTTTCTATTTTAAAAATGAGAATAAAAGCACTCTTTGACTCTTTCAATGTTTCATATAGCTCAGTGACAATGATGAAAGGTAATAAAGTTGCTGGACAAAGCAGATGTGAAAGGACAGGTGCCTATGTGATATCTGAGTAGTCAAGATTCAAAACATACATTGAGGCTGATTCCAAATGTTATACAAGCTGGACATTGCTTAGTTTTATAACAGAAATCTTTCACTTTCAAGTTCTGCAAACCCAGTTTTAAATCTTTAAACATTTGTACACATGTATTTCTTTTTGATAGTGCATCTGTCTGTTTTTTAATTATTTATTTTCAATTGCATATCCCTACATTGTACACATATGAGAGATTTGTATGCCCAAAAAATCCCTAAGAGAGACTCCCTGGGAAAATTGTACATACATTCAAAGGCACAATGATAACAAATAAGTCATTTATTGTATTTAATAATGTTTCTTTTATGAAGTGCAGGGAGAGATCTGGTATCATCTGGCAATTCAGCCATGAGTGAAAAGTTAATACAGCTACAAACACATATGCAAACAACTTCTGCAGGCAAGGCGAAACCAGACAAGTTGAGAATTACTTTTACAGTCAAATAAAAATAATATCAGGGATGCTGGACATGATATGAGCAACTTTTTCACTTATGCAATTGAGACTGGACCATGATCTTTATAAAATCTCTGCCCTCATGATGCAGTTTTGAAGATGTATTTTGGTTACAGGAAATACATCAGAATCTTATGAACACCAAAACAGCATAGGTGGGCACCAACTTCTCTGCCCTTCCCATTACCAGAGAGGACCAGGCATCCATTAAGGCAGAAATCACTCAGATTGGTCTGAAACCAAATCTATCCTAGACACCAAATGACCATGAATCTGGCTCAATGGGAGTAAAAATTGTTTTGCTGCATGGTGACACTAACTCTTTTCACACTTGGAACCAAGGGAGGCAGGACTGGCATAAGAGGTTTATAAAATATACTCCTTTACTTAACTATGTTGTGTGTTTTATGTGAATATTGCACTGGGACACCCACAATGTAAATTGCCAAAACATAAATCTCATAGACAATATTTTAAAAAGTGAGTGAAGTTTTACTTGCAATAATAAAATATGTAAAAATGCAAAGGAGTTCAGCTTTTAGAACAATTGAGATTCCAGAATAAAGAAGGCTTTACGTATTGTTCAAATTATTGTAAGACAGTAGAAAATTCTGATGTAATGTTGTGTGGATAAATCTGAATAAAAAGCAGAAGTTTTAGCCTTAGGTTAAGACAAAACAGAATCCTGGCTTATTTTAGGATGTAAAGCTTTTCAAATGATCCTGAAATTCATGTTATCTTTCATAATACAGGGCTTTTCTGAATAGATCTTTTTCCACATCATGATAATTGACGTGTTTTAGAGCACAAAGGGAGAAAGGCAAAAGCAAAATGTTCAGTTCTATTATTACAACTTGAAAATATATTTAAGTTTAAAATTTTGGAACTTGTGCAATTGCTAAGTCTCATATCTTAGCTTAGTGGAGAACACAATAGATGCATACACATGTTGATAGCAACATTACTCAAAAGAGGCACAAGGTGGAAGCAACCCCAGTGCCCACCAATAGATGAATGGATACACAAATTGTGGTATACACATACAATAGAATATTATTCAGTTTTTCAAAATAAAGATAATTCTGATGCATGCTACAACATAGATGAACCTTTGAGACATTATACTAAGTGAAATAAACCAGTCACAAATAATGTATGATTCCACTGATAAAAAGTATGTAAAGTAGTCAAACTCATAGAAAGTAAAATAGTTGTTGCTGGGGGTATGGAGAAGAGAAAATGGGAATTCTTTAGTGGGTATAGAGCTTCAATTTTGCATGATAAAACAGTTAAAATTGGTTGCATAACAGTTTGAACTATACTTAACACTTTTTAACTGTACACTTAAAATGGTTAAGATAATAAACTTTATGTTATATGTATTTTATCATAATTGAAAAAGATGCAATATTCTTACCACAAAAATGGAGCATCTTGTTATAGTTTTTAATATTATACATATACTATCCAAGGTAAGTTAATATAATTATAATGATAAATTAAGTTATAATATAATTAACTTACCCTGCATAGTATATGCATAACATTAAAAAGATTGTTCTTTTCTAATTTGAACAAAATTATATTTTTTAAGCATAAGAAATAATTTTTCAAGTGTAACACTATTAGATGAGTAGATGCACATTTATAGACAGAGGCCTTTTTGAACCAAAGAAAATTCACTCTTTGTCACTTATCACTAGACAACAAAAGTGGAATACAGTAGTTCTATCTTGTGCACAGTGAAACTTAAATAGTAGTTCTTTATGGAGTTAAAAAGAAAACCAAAAGTGTATTTTGAATATTGATGGTCACTGTAAACTAAATTAGATGTTACAAAATCAGTTGGAAATTAAAGCAGGAGAAATCCTGCTAATAGAAAATTAACATCTGGCTTTTTGTCATTCCTTTCTATCTTCCTTCCTTTTTAAGTTGTCTTAGTGTCTAATATCAAAATAAGAAAATAAAATGAATAAGATAATGTATTGTCATTGGAATAAGAGTGAGAAGGTGAAATAAGATTTATTGAAGTTTACAAGGCTTTTATTTTTATAGATTAATATCTATTAAATCTTATCAAGGTTTCTAAACTTAAGCATTCTTTTTATGCCCCATCATAACCCCAGTTAGCATCACTTCTACATACACATAATCACTTTCTGAACTCCACCTTCTTTTTTAAAAGGTAGTAAAGTAAATTCTATTTAAAGAAAGAACAAATCACCACTATAGAAATTTGCCCACTGTAGAAATTTGCCCTTTCCCCTTTCACCCACTCAAACTTTGATAAGAAATGAATTGAAAGACATACTAGTTGTAGATTTTCACTCATACAGACACATGTGCACAGCATTACTCTCCAAAGAGAGACCAGGGGAAGCAAAAACTCATTTGATTGATGCCAGGAATCTCTCTCATAAACTCTCAAGATGACAGTTTTGTGACAGCATCTCAAAGAACTTAGGCCAAATTAGTACTCCTAAAATTTGTAGAACAGAAAAGGGATATTGTGTGGTTTTATTTTTTATAATGATAACATATAACATTTACTTTGCCAGGTGTAGCACTCTTGGTTGACAGCTTATTTTTTCTTTCTGCACGTTGAATATATTACTCCACTCCCTCCTTTCACGCAAAGTTTCTGCTGAGAAGTTTGCTGATAGCCTTACTGAGCTTCCTTTGTATGTGATGAGTCTTTTTTCTCTTGCTGCTTTCAAGATTATTTGTCTTTGATTTTTGACAGTTTAATTGTAACGTCTCTCAGAGTGTTTCTCTTTGAATTGATCTTCTTTGGGATCTTTTGAGCTTCATGAATCTAGATGTCCTAGTTTTTTCCAAGATTTGGGAAATTTTCAGGCATTATTTCCTTAAATAAACTTTCTGCTCTCCTTTCTTCTTCTGAGACTTCCATAATTTATATATTTGTGTGCTTGGTCATGTCCAATAGGTCTCTTATGTTTTTTTCACTTTTTTCTTTTTGTTCCTCTGACTACTTTAAAATGGTCTGTCTTCAAATTCACTAATTCTTTCTTCTACATAGTTTAGTCTACTGTGTAAGCTTTCCGCTTAATTTTGCAGTTCTGTCACCGTACTCTTCAGCTCCAGGATTTCTATTTTTTATGGTTTCTATTACTTTATTAAAATTTTAATTTTGTCCATGTATTGTTTTCCTAATTTCATTTAGTTGTCTATCTGTTTTAATGCATCTCATTAATCTTAGATCTTCATTTCTTTCATTTTGGCTACTAGAGCTTTATTAGTTTCCTTTCATGATATCATGCTTGCCTGATTCATTGTTATCCATGCAGCTTTATATTAGTCTGTGTATATGAAGAAGTAAACACCTGCCCTAATCTTTACAGATTAGTTTTGGCAGGTAAACCCTTCCATACAGTGTCTAGACTGGTTTTCTCCAGAGTTCTATCAAGCAGGGTTGGAGTCAGGTCATATTAGTCCCGCCATTAAATCCACTGTTGGCTGTCCTGTTATTAGAAGCATGAATGAGCATGGATCTTATTTGATCCCTGATAGTATGGGACTGCCTCCAGGAACCTGGTCAGCAGGGTGGATGCTGGAATGAGGGTATGCTTCAGGGTCCACAAATAGCAAGCCTGTTACCAGGTATGTGGCTTGGTGTAGCTCCCTCTGGGTTCTAGACTGGGGCTCTTAGTGGATCACTGGGTGGGTCCATGGGCAAGCAGGTCTGGCCCTGGACCATGGATTAGAGTGGCTGGAGCCAATTCATAGGGATGCTTCAGGATCCACAGCCAAGATTGAAGTTTGCAGGCCAGAATCTGGAGGCATGGATGAGAGTGTCTCATGGTGGATCCCTGGGCGGACAGTAGTGGTCCTGGACAATGACTGGAAGGAGATAAAGCTGGGTTGTAAGAGATCCTTTTAAGAGCCACAGCAAGGACTGAGGTTAGTGGGCCTGTCACCAGAGGCATGAATAGATGTGACTCCTCCAGGTACCTTGGCAGATGGTTCTTGTAGCATGACCAAGACCAAATGGGGCTGTAGCTGAGTCCACTGGGGATTGGGCCATTTCTGAGTCTGAAACTAATACCATCATCACTGAGTCTGCAACCTGGGCATGGGTCTGTACTCTCAAAACAGCCTTCCCTGGTCTTGAGCTCCAGTAGGATTTTGCACACTCCTATGTGAATCCCAAATTCCCTCAAAGACGTGCTTGCCTATGGCTGGCTGTCAAATTATTGTTGCTATGAGGAGATAGGAGTGAGGGATCTCCTGTACTGCCAAATTGATGATGTCACTCCAAAAAGTAATTGATCTTAAACTTCTTCCTAAACACTCTTGCATGAGTAATAGAATGTCTGCCAATTGCATTTTGTATATTTTCTCTACATGGCTAATGCCCAAAAACAGAAATAATAACTTCTGAATATATAACGCTAGGGGTTTTTCCCATTCACAACCATATATAGGGTTTTCAATTTTTTTTTAGTTATTATTAGTACTACTAATAAATTAGTATTATTTGTACTTCCTTTATTTTCTCTACATTTATTTTTTATTTACATTATTGTTTCTTCTTCCTTTCTCTTTTACATTCAAGTTGTCTTGCTTTTGCTTGAGCATACTATGAATATGCTTCTATAGATTATAATATTCCCCCGTAATGTCTACTTTCTTCTTTCAAGTCCTGATAACCATGATTGATTCATTTCTCTACCAGCTCAGGGAAACACTGTCACATATTCAGCTGTCTTTTTCTAGAGAAACTAATAAAAATAATTAACAATAAAAATAATGTTATATAATCTAAAAAGTTTAAGACAAAATATTTTGCTTTACCCCCCAGTTTATCTCTAGGTATGTCATTGTAATCACCCTCTTAATGTTGGCAAACATCTCTTTGAACTGTTACCTTTTTAAAATTCTCAGCATGGATGTTTGAAACTTTGAATTCTCTCATCTCACATTCTTATATAACTGAATTTACTGTTGTCTATTGTAATTGACAGCAAATTTATTTCCAGTAAGGTAGACAAAAAACAACTGAATTACGTTAATGGATTGAAATTATAGGTTCTAATAATATTCCAGGCTAAAGAATTTACAAATGTTGGACAAATTGTGGTATATGCACACTATGTAATACTACTTAGCAATTAAATAGAATAAACTACTGATAAATATAACATGAGTGAATTAAAAAAGCATTATGCTAAGTGGAAGAAGCCAACCAAATAGACCTCATACTGCATGATTTTATTTACATGAAATTCTATTAAAAGCAAAAGTATATTGACAGCAAAAAGATTAGTGGTTGACTGTGGCTATTTTGGGGAGGTGGCTGGGGTAACTGCAAATGGACATGAGAAAAAGTTTTTGGGGTGATAAAAATTTCTCTATCACAGTAGTATTGGTTATATGACTGTTTAGATCAGTCAAAACTCATAAAATCAGAAATAAAATTGGTGAATTTTATTACATGTCAATTAGATTTCAATAAAGCTGATTTTTAAAAATTCCACCAGCCAAACTGTTTTACATGATTTTAATTAATACAATGAAAGAAATGAAAATTTGGCTGGGCGCCGTGGCTCACGCTTGTAATCCCAGCACTTTGGGAGGCTGAGGCAGGCGGATCACGACGTCAGGAGATGAGACCACAGTGAAACCCTGTCTCTACTAGAAGTACAAAAAAATTAGCCGGGCGTGGTGGTGGGCACCTGTACTCCCAGCTACTCGCAGAGGCTGAGGCAGGAGAATGGTTGTGAACACGGGAGGTGGAGCTTGCAGTGAGCCGAGATGGTGTCATTGCACTGCATTCTGGGCAACAGAGGAAGACTCCATCTCAAAAAAAACAAAAAAGAAATGAAACTTTTTAAAGTTAGTAGGATAAATTTTATAAGGCAACTAACATCATGCTTGATATAAAATAAAAACTTAGTAGAGACAAGTTACTCCTTCATTTCTGTAAAGCAAAAGCTACATATTGGTGAAATTAAGCCAAATGTTGCCATTTTGTTTGGCTGGCACGATCTTTTAAAATTTAATACTTGTATCACCAATTTTCAACCAAGCAAAAAATGCAACTAAATGAGGGAAAAGAGAGTTTTATCAACAAATGGTACTGGTAAAATGGAAAGAATGGAAAGATATATGGGGAAACAAAATGTACTTTGGCTATTTCCACTTCATACACTTAAAAAATATTGAGATGGGGCCGGGTGCAGTGACTCACTCCTGTAATCCCGGCACTTTGGGAGGCCAAGGCGGGGCAGATCACCTGAAGTCAGGAGTTTGAGACCAGACTGACCAACACGGAGAAACCCCGTCTCTACTAAAAAAAAAAAAAAAAAAAAAAAAATTGAGCTGGGTCATAATCCTAAACATAGAAAGTTAAAACTTCAGAGCTTCTAAAAAGAAGCATAGAAGAATATCTAAAGTCATTTAAAATATGTATTTTAGGCAGAACAATAAAAATACTAACTGTAAAAGAAAAACTGAGAAGTTGGATTTTATCAAAATTTAAAAAATTAAAACTTTTGCTCATCAAAAGACATAATTGAGAAATGAACAGGGAAGTCACATACTGGGAGAAAACACTTGTAATATGTATAACTAGCAAGTGACTTAGATCTAGAATATATAAAAGACTACTAGCTCAATAATAAAAACAGAAACAACTGAACTAAAAATGGACAAAAAAATTGTGTGAAAGGCCCCCATGAGCACATGAAAAACTGTTCAACGTAATTAATCATCACAAAATATAATTTAAGCTATACTTCATACCAATTAGAATGGCTAAAATGTCTGGCAGTTCAAATATGGGCAAGAATTTGCTTCTTGTGTAAAATGTTTCAACCACTTTGGAGAAGAGGTTTTTCCTCTGACTCAGCAATTTATTCATATTTATTTAAGAAAAATAAAAACATACACCCATAAGATAATAATGTTTACAGTATTTTTATTTATAATAATCAAATACTGGGAACAATGTAAATGTCCATTTAAAAAGACAATGAGTAAATTGTAATAGGTTTACACAATGGAATAATACTCATCAGTAAAAAGAAACATTACTGATGCACACAACTACATGGTCAAATCTAAAGCACACATAGATGACAGAAAGCCAGCCATATAAAGTCACATACCCTATGATTCAATTTATATGAATTTAAGCAAAGAAAACTAATCTATGGAGATCAGAATAGTAGTTATCTAACTGTGGAAGGAATTGATGTGGAAATTGCACAAGAATACTTGTTGGGGTGACAGAAAAATTCTGTATCTAGGTAGGCATATGAGATAAGTGGATGTACATGTTTAAGTTCTGTGAACTTTTAAGTTTCTGTGAATTTTTAAACTTTTACTTTAATTTAAAAAATAGGAACTAACATACAAGTTAGCATAGATTGGCAGCTGTTGAGATTAGTTACAGCACAGGAGATATTTTTCTTTTATATATATATGTCCGGGTCTCCTCCGTGACTTTATGTTCTCCGTTTGACCTCCTAAGTATACACGTTTGTGTCTCCAAAGTTTAAATTATATGAACTTAACTCCTTTTCTTCCTAGTTTTTCACTGATTCAATCATGTAAATGAGACTACAACTCAAAAGTGTAAATGTTGTCACTGAAATACATATTTGTTTAATTCAATGAATAAGTGAACGAATAAAACCAAGAGGCCAAATGTGGGAAAACATAAGTTGAGTAAATAATATTAACCATGTAAAGAAATCATACAAATTTGCTTTTATATTTACAGATAACTTTAGCCAAAATGATTAAACTTTTTTCTTTTGATTTTTGGCACAAAGATGTTTTCTGCGTCTGCTTGTCTGATGGGTTTGCTTGTGGTTGTAATCGTATCTACTTAGACTGAGGATCCATAATACATTTAATAAGTAATGCACATTGCTACAGAGTATTGTAGAAGAAAGAGCCTAGGCCCGTTCTAATACTTAATGACTCCATGGCCCATTAGGGTTGGTGGCCTAGGCCCATTCTACTACTTAATGACTCCATGGTCCTAGGGAAATAAGTTGTTAACGCTCTTGTCTTAGTTTCTTTGTTTGCAAAATTAATTAATTAGTCAGTAGCCTTCTAAATTTGATATTCAGGGATTATATGAAGATTTTATTTCCTTAGCAATTACATACAGTTTTTTTCCCTCAAAGGAAATTTCACAAAAATTAAAATGGCAGGAAATTTGAGGAAAATGAGAACACTAGTAATTAATAACAACAATAATGAACAATTTACTGAGTCATGCTTGGCTACTTACTGCCATATACACATAAGACCATTCATTGTTTACAGATAGACAAAAATAGTCATGTTCAAGCTAGCTTAGTGGAATAGAAATTGGTGCTAATGCAGCCAAGGCACAGATTGTCTTATATTTTGGTCATAATCTGAATAAATAAACAGTCGTTGTATAACTATATTCGATTGTCATTAGGTAAGTGAAGTAAGTCATTACCACAGAAGGAGATTCAATTTGATTAAACTAATATTTTGTATGTGCTAGATACTATTGTAGTATTTAGAATACAACCATGAATAAAAAGCATACATACACAAACATACATTTAAAAATTTCTGTTCTCAAAGATCTTACATTTTATTAGGGAGAAGCAGAAAATAAACGACACAAATTATATGGTATGTTAGAAGGTGATAAATCCTAAGGAAAAAAATAAAGCATGAAAAGTTGAAACAGGAATGCGGTGGGTATGAGGGAAACTGATTTTATTAGGTTGATGCAAAAGTAATTGTGGTTTTTCCCATTACTTTTAATTGCAAAAACCGCAATTACTTTTGCACCAACCTAATAGCTTTTATTGGGAGTTCAAATGAGGCCTCACAGAAAAGAAAATATTTATGAAAACACTTTAAGGAAATTTGAGAGTTAGGCTTTTTCTGGGGGTCGGGGTAGTCAGGCTTTTGAGTATCTGAAATGAAATAATACAGGGAGAGAAAATAGGCAGTGTATTAACCCTAATAGGGATTACACTGGGAATGTTAAAAGAATAACAAAAATATTAGTGTGGTCATAACCAACTGAGAACAGAAGTAATAAGTCTAAAGAGTAAAGAGGGAAAGGAAAAGATCTTGTAGAAACTTGCAGGAAGTACTCTAAGTCAGAAGGTTTTCAGAAGGCAAATGAAACAACTGGATTTTTTCATTTTAACAGAATCACTTTGGTTTCTGGTAGGAGAAGCAAGGAGTCACATTAAAAAGTGTTATCAATACCCTAGTCAATAGACAGTGATAGTAAGGATCAAGGTGTTAGCAGTGGAGAGGTGAGACGTAGTTGGATTCTGTATATATCTATATCTACGTATATTTTTAAGATAGAGTGGATAGGTAGTTCTCATGTATTACATATGGAGGATACGAGAGAGTGTGTGGTAGGTAGAATAGTGTCTCTTCCCCAAGATGTCTACATCCTACTCCACTATTGTTACTGGAGGAACTTTGTTTTTAGAGCTCCCTAGTTGGTGGCGGGCTGCTCCCAAGATGGCGACAAGAATTTTGTTTTCTGACCTGGGGTTCTTGGCCTCATGGATTCCAAAGAATGGAACCTTGAGCCATGCGGTGAGTGTTATAGCTCTATTAGAAGCCATGGGTCATGGAAGAGGACCATGGAACCCAGCAACTAGTATACGAGCTCGATTAGAACAAACCCGGGCACTTAGCCACGCAGGAACAATGGTGAGCCTCTAGTCTGATCAGGAGCGCAATGGGTGCCTTGCTGGATCAGAAGCACAGTGGACACCCTGCCAGATCCAAAGTGGAAGTCAGTGGTGGGTCTGCAATGGCAGTGATCAGCAGTGGTGGACGGTGAGTGAAAGCTCAGCTCAAGCCGAAACAAACAGGGACCAGAAGAATGTGCAGTTGCAAGATTTAATAGAGTGAAAACAGAGCTCCCATACAACCAGAGGGACCCAAAGGGGGTTGCCACTGCTGGCTCCAATGCCTAGGTTTATATCCCAATCATTGTCCCTCCCCCTGTGCTCTCAGGCTATAGATGATTGACTATTTCTTTACCTCCTGCTTTTAGACTAATTGGTATTTTAGTGAGCTCTCTTTACTATCTGATTGATTGGGTGTGAGCTGAGTTACAAGCCCCGTATTTAAAGATGGGTGCAGTCACCTTCCCCAGCTAGGCTTAGGAATTCTTAGTCAGCCTAGGAAATCCAGCTAGTCCTGTCTCTCACTATGAATATGTTGCTTTACATGGCAAAAGGGACATTCCAGATGCATTTAATTAAGGATCTCTAGATGATGAGACTATCTGGATTATTCTGGAAGACCCAGTTTAATCACAAGGACTCACATAAGAGGGAGGACAGAGGGTCAGTCGGATATGGAGATGTAACAGTAGAAGCAAAGATTAGAAAGGGGGAAATTTGAAGATGCTAACTGTTGGTTTTGAAGATGGAAGAAGGGGCCATTAGCCCAAGAATGCAGGCAACCTCTACAAGTTAGAAAATGAAAGGAAATTGATTGTCCTCCAGATTTTTCCGAAAGAAACAAAGAAAGCCTTGCCAACACTGTTATTTGTTCAGTGAAGGCCATTTCAGACCTCTGACTTGCAGGACTGTAAGAGAATATATATGTGCTATTTTAAGCCAGTAAATTTGTAGTAATATGTGAAATTTTGTGTGTGGGGTATAAAAAGAGTAAGGAGCTAAGCCTGAAATGAAAGAATAATATTTACTATTAATTTGAAATGTGGAAGATTATAGATCAAATTTTAGAGAGAAAAACAATAGTTTAATTTTGAACATGTTAAGTTAATAATATCTCTAATTTATCAAAGTAGTGGCATCCAACTACCAGTTGAACAAATAAGTCCAATGCTTTAGGATAAAAGTCTAGACTAGATTCATAATTTGGGAGTTAAAAACATGGAGATTGTATTCTCCGGGTTCCTGACAAAAAATGCATAACCTGAATCTAATCATGAAGAAACATCATATATACCAAAATTGTGGGAAAATCCACTACAAATTAATTGACATGTACTCAACCAAAATTTCAAGGTCACAAAATACAAAACACACCCAAGAAACTGTTCCAGATGGAGCAATATGAAATATTTCTTGTGTTTTGTTAAACAAAAAAATAGGCTTTTGTTTTGTTTTATGACTGTAAAGAACATTATTAAAATTCACTATATGAATAATATCTCTTGGTTTTGGTAGTGCTATAGTAATGTTAATTTCCTGAAAGTCATGATTGTTTTAGTGGTGTTCTGGCAAACCACATCTGCAGAGGTGGTGGTGGACAGGGAAGCCCTGATTTCTAACATCTACTGATTTTCATATTGTAAATACTCTTACAGTGGCTGATTCCAAGATACTAATGTGGAATCAGTGAGCAAAAATTAGGAAGAAATGTGCACATTTGGCTCTTGTAAGCCCATTCAACTAGTTGCAGCACATCAATTAAATGTGAAAGCATATGAAAGTGTACTTGTCTTTTAGTTAAATGGGTATCATGTGTGAAACTTATTATCAATTGGTAGAAAAAGTAATTATATATTATATATAAATATAAAAGGTTTTTACACATATATGCTATATAATATATACCATATGCATATAAAATAAATACATATCTAGATACAAATATATGTAATATTCAGAGAAATGATACAGCTAATAAGACAAAATGACATATGGGAATCTTTTCTAATATTCTTTCAATTTTTCTGCAAGTTTGAGTTATTTCAATATAAAAATTTAAGAAAAAATGAATAGGAAAAAAGTAACAACACAAGAATACAGATAATAAAATAGTTCACTATTTTACATAATAAAGTAGATAAAAACAAATATGATTATATATACCAGGTCCAATTTAAATATAGTATCCCTAGTAGATATTATAACTTTTGTACCATAGAAAAACAAATGATCTCTAAGACACTGTGCTGTAATAACAACTAGAGGTAATATTTATTACAGTTCAAAATATTTTAATATTACTATACTCCATGAGCACTTTAAAACAATGAATACTCAGTCAATATCCTATGCTTGAATTATTTATTAAATGCACAAAGATAGATGAGAAATTTGATAGTACCAGAAATTCAGCAGTGAGAAAAAACTGATTGAAGGTACCTGTGCATGAATAAAGGAATTTTTGATTTTTTGACACTCTGTAGATTAATCTGAGGCCACACTGAGTGGTGAAGCAGGGTAGCAAATCTGATTTGTGGAAATTTGAAAGAACAGGAGGAGAAGTTAAAAAAAATGATCATTCTTATTTAATTTTTTGTGGGGCCTCAGAAGTACACAAGAAAAGTGTCCAATAATTTTCCAAATTTTCTTAAAAAGTAATGACTTAAAAATTTAAATGAAATATTTTATAATGTAGATTAAAATTTTAGATGTTCAATTTTCTGTCCATATAAGTAAAAGAACTTAAGATTAATTTTTAGTGAGGTAGATTTTTATAACTTGTATTATTCTATGAGCATTAAGACAACCAACTACTGAAAGATATGATCAATTTTAACATAGATTTCTATTTTGTGGACTTTCTGTGACAATGAAGCAAATGATGAAGGTGCAAAAAACTATAAAATCAATATGGTTTCCATGATCAAATATCAACTCATCCAATTACATCCTTCCATGAGTAAGGAAGGGCTTTAAAATCTGTTTTATGTAGTGTATTTTTCTGTTTGTTATGCAGAGGTTCTGTACTCCCCATTATTTTTTCTTCTGTCATATATATTAGAGTGATACAGTCAAGATGTTTCTCTATAGCAGCTAGAAAATTATCCAGCTCTCATCATATACTAAGGTTTAACACTAAAATACATCATTTAGTTTTTTTCTTTATGCAATATTCTTAAAAATATGACTATAATAAGAATAAAAAATGACACTTCCATGAAAAAAAAACCATAATAGAGAATCATAAATTAGCCAGCATCTCTTTCCTATTTTTTCTCCATGTTTAATTTTAGAGGTAAGAGTTCAATCACAAGACCCACAAGCAAATACATTTCTAGGTTTTGCCAGATAATTAGAATAGATTCATCCAATATTTTATTACTTCATATAAAATACTGCCCAGAGTTCATTGATATTCAGAAAGATGATCCTAAAACTGGACAGGTCTTTTAATCATCAACAAAACATTTAATTAAGATAAGTACAATGCATTTTCTACCAAATATCTAATTTTCGGAGCAAAAAATATTTTAAAATTTTTATTGACAATGCTAAGTTAGCCACAAACCCATTTATTAAATATTTTAGTTACATTACTACAAACGTAGCAATAGTAGGCACTTTCTGCATTCAGTGGATAAATCAAACCAATGACATTGGAATTCCTAAAACCTTACAGTTTCTAACATCAACATCAGTAATAACAGACAACAATATTCAAATAAAGTCACAAAATATATGAAACAAAATAAGAATTACTAAAATTATTAGTATATAATTTTTTGAAATATTAACTATATAAAGGTAAAAGCTATCAAAGGAAGGACAGTCATTTGTATTATAAATAATTTTATTCAAACATAAGTACTATAATTTTTATATCTAAGACTAGCATAAAAAAATACAAAATGGAAAAACTCAGCTTCCCTCTAACAAAATAAAACCCTTATTTCTTGATATCTGTGATTCTTATGTTAATATTTCTAATTTTATTAGTATAATTATGTTATTGATAATAATTTGAAAAACATTTTATAAATGACACAAATGACAAAGCAGACAGGTATAAGTCATTTTTCAATCTTTTTGCATTCTGGTTTAGATGATGCTTCTGAGTTAATTTAAAAAATGGTACAACCTTAGTGACTGACAATGACATGTTATTTAAGGCAATTCTTTCTGAATAAGTGTCAGAACAATGCTTCTTTGTAATTTTAAAAATATTGGCAAAGGACATATTTTCCAACATGTATTACTTAAACATGTATAAACAATAACAAAAAAATTCACAGTCAAATAAATTTGGAAAGTATTAAATATAAAATTCTTGGCCAGGTGCAGTGGCTCACACGTGTAGTTCCAGCATATTGGGAGGTCAAGGCTGGCAGATCTCTTGAGGTCAGGAGTTTGACACTAGCCTGGCCAACATGGCAAAACTGGTCTCTACTAAAAATACAAAAATTAACCAGGCATGGTGTTGCACACCTGTAATCCTAGCACTTTGGGAGGTTGAGATGGGTGGATCACTTGAGGTCAGGAATTCAAGACCAGCCTGGACAACTTGGTGAAACCCCG
Source organism: Homo sapiens (assembly GCF_000001405.40). Classification (NCBI taxonomy): domain Eukaryota; kingdom Metazoa; phylum Chordata; class Mammalia; order Primates; family Hominidae; genus Homo; species Homo sapiens. The sequence continues at coordinate 62,688,702 of NC_000006.12, forward strand.
TATCTACTAAAAATACAAAAAAATTAGCCAGGCATGGTGGTGCATGCCTCTAATCCCAGCTACTAGAAAGGAAGGGAGGCATCACGCTACCTGACTTCAAACTATACTACAAGGCTACAGTAACCAAAACAGCATGGTACTGGTACCAAAACAGAGATATAGATCAATGGAACAGGACAGAGCCCTCAGAAATAATACCACACATCTACAACCATCTGATCTTTGACAAACATGACAAAAACAAGAAATGAGGAAAGGATTCCCTATTTAATAAATGGTGCTGGGAAAACTGGCTAGCCATATGTAGAAAGCTGAAACTGGATCCCTTCCTTACACCTTATACAAAAATTAATTCAAGATGGATTAAAGACTTACACGTTAGACCTAAAACCATAAAAACCCTAGAAGAAAACCTAGGCAATTACCATTCAGGACATAGGCATGGGCAAGGACTTCATGTCTAAAACACCAAAAGCAATGGCAATAAAAGCCAAAATTGACAAATGTGATCTAATTAAACTAAAGAGCTCTGCACAGTCAAAGAAACTACCATCAGAGTGAACAGGCAACCTACAGAATGGGAGAAAATTTTTGCAATCTACTCATCTGACAAAGGGCTAATATCCAGAATCTACAAAGAACTCAAACAAATTTACAAGAAAAAAACAAACAACCCCATCAAAAAGTGGGCAAAGGATGTGAACAGACACTTCTCAAATGAAGACATTTATGCAGCCAACTGACACATGAAAAAATGCTCATCACCACTGGCCATCAGAGAAATGCAAATCAAAACCACAATGAGATATCATCTCACACCAGTTAGAATGGCAATCATTAAAACGTCAGGAAACAATGGGTGCTGGAGAGGATGTGGAGAAATAGGACGACTTTTACACTGTTGGTGGGACCGTAAATTAGTTCAACCGTTGTGGAAGACAGAGTGGCAATTCCTCAAGGATCTAGAACTAGAAATACCATTTGACCCAGCCATCCCATTACTGGGTATATACCCAAAGGATTATAAATCATGCTGCTATAAAGACACATGCACACATATGTTCATTGAGGCACTATTCACAATAGCAGTCTTGGAACCAGCCCAAATGTCCATCAATGATAGACTGGATTAAGAAAATGTGGCACATATACACCATGGAATACTATGCAGCCATAAAAATGATGAGTTCATGTCCTTTGTAGAGACATGGATGAAACTGGAAACCATCATTCTCAGCAAATTATCTCAAGGACAAAAAACCAAACACCACATGTTCTCACTCATAGGTGGGAACTGAACAATGAGAACATTTGGACACAGGAAGGGAAACATCACACACTAGGGCCTGTCATGGGGCGGTGGTGGGAGGGGGGAGGGATAGCATTAGGAGATATACCTAATGTAAAGGACGAGTTAATGGGTGCAGCAGACCAACATGGCACATGTATACATATGTAACAAACCTGCACGTTGTGCACATGTACCCTAGAACTTAAAGTATAATTTAAAAAAAAAGAAAGAAAGAAAATATCTTGAACCTGGGAGGTGGAGGTTGCAGTGAGCTTAGATTGCACCATTGCACTCCATCCTAGGTGACAGATTGAAACCATGTCTCTCTCTCTCTCCATATATATATATATATATATATTTCTTTATTGGAAAAGTACACATTTAAGCCTCCAAGGAGTCACAAGACAAAGAAATAGTCCTATCTAAAAAAATATTTAGGCATACTTTAGCATTTTCTTGCATATAATTTTAAAAAATTAAAACAAAACATAGGTCAAGAGGTGAAAATGCAAACAAATAACATGGGCAGTTTGTGCGATGTGCAAAGAACATCTGAATTATGGACATAATTCCATCTATAAAGATTGCATTAAATAAAATCACATGTGTGGAATGGCCGAACTGTGGATCTGACTCATAATCTCTAAACCTTTTCTCAGTTCATAAAATTTTTAAGAAAAATGACTCTGACAAAAGTGGTCATATTTCTAACTCCACACCATTAAAAACTATATAAAGTTTTTCTTACTCTAGTTAATAAGAAAGAGATTGGACAAAAATGAAGTATTTTAAGAAGGAAAGGAAATCGGGAAAATGTATGAAGTCAAGGTGACTCAGTGAGTCTTACTGAGTCCAAACCATTACAATGAATAAAAACAGCCATAATCTTCCCGACAAGATAGAAAAATAGAGACTCTATTTACCCATCTGACTGGAGAAAGAGACAGACAAAATACATGAAAAAATGTCTCAAGTCATTGGACAGAGACAATAAAGGATAGTGCTTCCTGAAATGTGGGAAATGAGGTGAACTCTAAGATTTCCTCAGTGTAATTCCTGGATAAAGTTTCCAGGCAGCAATGCAGAAAGGGAAGATCAAGGTGAGCTGGATAGTCTACCTGAGTTGAGTAAACTAACCTGGGTCTCCTGGCAGGCCCAATATCCAGAGTTTCCAGAGTAAAAAGAGCATTGGAAAGAGACAATTCCAGAAGCCAGCAAAGTTCCTACTGTAGTATTTAGCTGAATATTGATCAGTGCGCCTTTGTGAGGAAACTACCCAAAGCCAAGTAAAGAATCATCTAAACAGATTAGAAGAAATGATACCTGAAAGTTCAATAACTGTTTAATGACTACTCCCATGGGGCAGTATTCAGAAGGCCATTGGAAGAGTACTTGGAAAGGTTTCACCTCAAAGTGGGGAATACTTAACCTGCTCTTGAACTGCCTAACTTACTAAAGCAAAATTCTAAAGGAGCAGGTTATTTAAAAGTAACTTAACCATGTACAGAACAACATTTAAAAATCTTTATAGGGGCTGGGCGTGGTGGCTCACGCCTGTAATCCCAGCACTTTGGGAGGCCGAGGAGGGTGGGTCACTTGAGGTCAAGGGTTCGAGACCAGCATGACTAACATGGCAAAACCCCATCTCTACTAAAAATACAAAAATTAGCCAGGCAAAGTGGCAGGTGCCTGTAATCCCAGCTACTTGGGAGGCTGAGACAGGACAATCACTTGAACCCCCAGGAGGCAGAGGTTGCAGTGAGCCATGATCATGCGCCACTGCACTCCAGGCTGGGGAACAGACTGAGACTCCATCTCAAAACAAAATAAATAAATAAATAAATAAATAAATATGAATACAAATGATCAAGCACCTAAAAATGTAAAGTTTATAATGTTTGGTGTCCAATTAAAAATTATCTGGCCTTCAGAGAAAAGAAAATTACTACCCCAAATTAAGAGAAAAAAACATTTAATTAAGCCATGTCAGAAATGACACACGTGATTATTTATTAGATAAGGACATTAAAACAATTATTATAATGTATTCCATATACTTAAGAAGATAAAAGATATTTGAACATCTTAGGAGATTTAGTCAGCATAAAGATCTAAATTGACTTCAAAAAATAAATATAAGATCTGAAATAAAAATTGCATTAGATGAGCTAAATAGTGCAGAAAACGTGTTTAGACATTGCTGAAGACAGTAACAAAAACCATCCAAATTGTAATGGAGAGGAAGAAGACTGAAAAAGAATAAAGTATGCATCAATAAGCTATGGAGCAACTTCAAGCTGCCTGATACATATATAATCAGGGTACTAGAAGGAGAGAAGAAAGGAGAGGAACACAGATAGTGTTTAAAAAATGAAGAACCATAATTTTCAAAATCTGATGAAAGTTAGAAGCCTATAAATCCAAGATGCTGAACATACACCAATCACAAAAGAAAATTAACAAAATCACATCAAAGAAAAACACAATCTAATTATTTAAACCAGTAATAATGTTAAAAAAAAAAGAAGCCAGATGACATGAGCTTATATATGGACAAACCTAAAGTTTCTATCAAAAAAATTTTGGCACTGATAAATAAACTCAATAAAGTTGCAGGATACAAAATCAAGTAAAAGTTAGTAGTATTTATGTATACAAAGAACAAACTAGCTGAAAAAGATATCAAGAAGGCAATCCCACTTAAAATATCTACCAAAAAATTTACCTAGGAATAAATTTAACCAATGGAGTGAAAGACATCTACAAGTGAAACTGCAACACATTGATGAAATAAATGGAAGAAGATACAAATAAATGTAAAAACATCGTATGTTCATGGATTAGAAAAATTTATATTGTTAAAATGACCTTACTATCCAAAGTAATCTATAGATTTGATGATATCCCTATTAAGATACCAATAAAATTCTTCACAGAAACAGAAAAAAAATCCTAAAATGTGTATGAAACTACAAAAGACAAAGAATAATCAAAGAAATACTGAGGAAAAAGAACAAAGCTAGAAACATCACACTACTAGATTTCAAAATGTATTACCAAGCTGTAGTAACCAAAACAACATAGTAGTGATATAAAAACAGACACATAAACTGGTTGAACGGAATAGAGAACCTAGAAATTTATTCATATATCTACATCCAATTGATTTTTGACAAAGGTACCAAGAACCCTCATTGGAGAAAGGACAGTCTCTTCAATAAATGATGCTAGAAAAACTGGATATCTATATGCAGAGGAATGAAACTAGATCCCCACTTCTTACCCTATGTAAAAATCAACCCCAAATAGTTTAGTGACCTAAATGTAAGACCCAAAACTATAATATTACTAGAACAAAACATAAAGAAAACAGTTCATGACAATTATCTGGGAAATGATTTTGTAATGAAGACCTCATAAGCACAGTAAACAAAGACAAAAATATATAAATGAGATTATATAATCAAACTAAAATGCTTTTGCACAGTAAAGGAAACAAAAGACTCAAAAGACTACAAAATGGGAGAAAACATTTGCAAGTCATTCATTCAACAGACAATCAATATCAGAATGTAGAACAAACTCAAACATCTTAACAACAAAACAACAATCTGAGTTTAAAAGGGGCAAAGGATCCCAATCGACATTTCTTAGATGAAGACATACAAATAACAACAACAAAAAAAACACATTAAATAAATGCCTAACACCACTAATCATCAGGGAAATGTAAGTCAAAACCACAATAAGGTATCTTCTCACTCCAGGTAGGATGGCTATCATCAAAAAGACAAAAAATAACAAATGCTGACAAGGATACAGAGAAAATAAACTCTTAAATATTGTTGGTAAAAATTTAAACTAGTACAGCCACTATAAGGAACAGTGTGGAGGTACCTCAAAAAACTAAAAATAGAACTACCATATTATCCATCAATTCCATTACTGGGCATTTATCCAAAAGAAAATAAATCAGTATATTGAAGAGATGCCTATATCCCCATGTTTACCACAGCATTATTTATAATAGTCAAGATATGAAATCAACCTAAACTTGCAAAAACAAATGAATGGATAAAGAAAATATGATATAGATACATAATGGAATACTATTCAGCCATCAAAAAGAATAAAATTTGTCATTTGTGGCAACATGTACAGAGCTAGAAGACATTATGTTAAGCCAGGAACAGAAAGTTAAACACTACATGTTCTCACTCATATATGAAAGTATTAAATATTGATCTCTAGAATTAAAAAGTGTAACAGAGGATACTAGAAACTGGGAAGGGTAGGGTGAAAGGGGGAATAGAGAGAAATTTGTTAAAGTATACAAAATTACAGCTGGATAACAAGAAACAGTCCTAGTGTTCTATACCACTATAGGATGGCTATAGTTAAAAATAATAATGAAAATCCCAGCATTTTGGGAGGCCAAGGCAGGCAGATCAGTTGAGCCCAGGAGTTAAAGACCAGCCTAGGCAACCTGATGAAACCTCGCCTCTACAAAAGATACAAAAATTATCTGGGCATGGTGGTGCACACCTGTAGTCCTAGCTACTTGGGAGGCTGAGTTGCGAAGGACTACTCAAGCTTAGGAGGTCAAGGCTGGAGTGAGCCATAATCATGCCACTGCACTCCAGCCTGGGTGACAGAGTGAGAGCCTGTTTCAAAAAAAAGAAAAAAGGAAAGAAAAATTATCACCAATATACCTGAACATAAGAAATGTCAAAAGAAAACCTTCACAGTGATGGAAAATAATATAAAACGGGAATATATGTCTACAAAATGAATGCAGAAACTAGGGATAGTAACTATGTGGATAAATGTATTTTATTTCATCATTACATCTACTTAAAAGATAATCAACAGTTTAAAGCAAAAATAATAAAAATGTACTTAAAATATATTATGAATTTTATAGCAATTATCAAAAGTTTATGACAACTTTAGCACAAAGACTAGGGGAAATAAATAGATGTATAGGATTATAAGATTCGTAGACCACACCTGGGTGATACAATATAACTTTAAGTTAGGCAGCAATAAATCAAACATATATACTATAAAGCAACAATCAATCACTAAATTGACAAAAAGAGTGTTAGCTAATGAAGCAACAAATAAAATAAAAATAAATCATAAAATACGATTCAATTATTTGTGTGTGTGTGTGTGTGTGTTTTATTATACTTTAAGTTTTAGGGTACATGTGCACAATGTGCAGGTTTGTCACACATGTATACATGTGCCATGTTGGTGTGCTGCACCCATCAACTCGTCATTTAACATTAGGCATATCTCCTAATGCTATCCCTCCCCCCTCCCCCCACCCCACAACAGGCCCCAGTGTGTGATGTTCCCCTTCCTGTGTCCAAGTGTTCTCATTGTTCAATTCTCACTTATGAGTGAGAACATGCGGTGTTTGGTTTTTTGTCCTTGAGATAGTTTGCTGAGAATGATGGTTTCCAGTTTCATCCATGTCCCTACAAAGGACATGAACTCATCATTTTTTATGGCTGCATAGTATTCCATGGTGTATATGTGCCACATTTTCTTAATCCAGTCTATCATTGTTGGACATTTGCGTTGGTTCCAAGTCTTGGCTATTGTGAATAGTGCCACAGTAAACATACGTGTGCATGTGTCTTTATAGCAGCATGCTTTATAATCCTTTGGGTATATACCCAGTAATGGGATGGCTGGGTTGAATGGTATTTCTAGTTCTAGATCCCTGAGGAATCACCACACTGACTTGCCTTTGAAAACTGGCACAAGACAGGGATGCCCTCTCTCACCACTCCTATTCAACATAGTGTTGGAAGTTCTGGCCAGGGCAGTCAGACAAGAGAAAGAAATAAAGGGTATTCAATTAGGAAAAGAGGAAGTCAAATTGTCCCTGTTTGCAGATTACATGATTGTATATCTAGATAACCCCATTGTCTCAGCCCAAAATCTCCTTAAGCTGATAGGCAATTTCAGCAAAGTCTCAGGATACAAAATCAATGTGCAAAAATCACAAGCATTCTTATACACCAATAACAGACGAACAGAGAGCCAAATCATGAGTGAATTCCCATTCACAATTGCTTCAAAGAGAATAAAATACCTAGGAATCCAACTTACAAGGGATGTGAAAGACCTCTTCAAGGAGAACTACAAAACACTGCTCAAGGAAATAAAAGAGGATACAAACAAATGGAAGAACATTCCATGCTCATGGGTAGGAAGAATCAATATCGTGAAAATGGCCCTACTGCCCAAGGTAATTTATAGATTCAATGCCATCCCCATCAAGCTACCAATGACTTTCTTCACAGAACTGGAAAACACCACTTTAAAGTTTATATGGAACCAGAAAAGAGCCCGCATCTCCAAGTCAATCCTAAGCCAAAAGAACAAAGCTGGAGGCATCACACTACCTGACTTCAAACTATACTACAAGGCTACAGTAACCAAAACAGCATAGTACTACTGGTACCAAAACAGAGATATAGATCAATGGAACAGAACAGAGCCCTCAGAAATAATGCTGCATATATACAACTATCTGATCTTTGACAAACATGACAAAAACAAGCAATGGGGAAAGGATTCCCTATTTAATAAATGATGCTGGGAAAACTGGCTAGCCATATATAGAAATCTGAAACTGGATCCTTTCCTTACACTTTATACAAAAATTAATTCAAGATGGATTAAAGACTTACACGTTAGACCTAAAACCATAAAAACCCTAGAAGAAAACCTAGGCAATACCATTCAGGACATAGGCATGGGCAAGGACTTCATGTCTAAAACACCAAAAGCAATGGCAACAAAAGCCAAAATTGACAAATGGGATCTAGTTAAACTAAAGAGCTTCTGCACAGTCAAAGAAACTACCATCAGAGTGAACAGGCAACCTACAGAATGGGAGAAAATTTTTGCAATCTACTCATCTGACAAAGGGCTAATATCCAGAATCTACAAAGAACTCAAACAAATTTACAAGAAAAAAACAAACAACCCCATCAAAAAGTGGGTGAAGTTTATGAACAGACACTTCTCAAAAGAAGACATTTATGCAGCCAACAGACACATGAAAAAATGCTCATCATCACTGGCCATCAGAGAAATGCAAATAAAAACCACAGTGAGATACCATCTCACACCAGTTAGAATGGCGATCATTAAAACGTCAGGAAACAACAGGTGATGGAGAGGATGTGGAGAAATAGGAACACTTTTACACTATTGGTCGGAGTGTAAATTAGATTCAATTAATTTTTAAAAAGCAGAGAAAAAGAATAAAGATTAGACATATGGAAACAAGAGTAAGATGGTAAAATAAAACTCAAATGTATCCATAATCATATTAAATGTAAATATTTAAACATCTAAATTACAAGAGATTATCAGATTGGATAAATAAACAATGTACAATTTTTCAATGCCTACAAGAAGCCCACTTCATAACAACCTAAGAGCTTTACAATAAAAGTATAGAATAAGATACCATATTAACTATACTAGTCAAAAGAAAGCTGGAGTAGCTTATATTAATATCAGACTAAGGTTTTAGAGTAAGAGTTTTATCTTGGATAAAGAATGTCATTTCATAATAATAAAAGGCTCAATTTATCAAGAAAACATAATAACCCTAAATGTTTACGTCTCTTCTAAAACAGCTTCATGATATAAGAAGCAACGACTGATAGAACTGCAAAAAGACAAATTCACAATTGTAGTTGAAGATTTTAAAACCTCTCTCTCAGTAATGGATAGAGCAAGTAAACAGATATCAGTAAAGATATAAAAGCTAGCTTAGACTGCCATGACAGAAATCATCACTGTATGTTTCTTAAATTTGTGGAGTTGAAATTTAAGAATGCTATAAAAAGGGTGTAGAGAGAAAATTATTTTATGGGCTAAAGTTTGAATAGGGGAGAGCTAGTAACTTTTTTTTTTAGAATTGTATCTATAACTTTGGTGTTACACATACTCATATTATCTGTTTAAGTTTTTCTTCATCTATATTATAAAATTATTTAACCTATGTTGTTTGGAAGATTTCATTTATATCTCTGATGAAAAGTTTCCATAAAGCAATTTTATATACCTGCTATAAAAAATAAAATAAAATAGTATGAGCATTGTATATAACCTATAGTGAAAAAGTTACTATTCTTTCTAGTATTCATAATTCAAAAAAATATATAAATCAGAAAAACTTATATGCTGATTAGTTCCACATAAAATTTCTCTTAATTATTAATACTATGTTTAGAGTAGAAATCCAGACTTTAATCAGATATTTTTTGAATAGCAAACAACGATAAAATATAATTAGGGAAAAACAATTTTTTGGAGTACCTATTGCTAATTCCTTATAATGAGTTGGACTTTGGTCTTAGTAATTTCTAAATTAAAAACTCTTAATATAAGCTTTTGGTAAAATATATTAATATCTGATTATCAGATACATAACTCTTCTATTAAACCATGTTTTCATGCTTATGTAACTCATTTACTTTACACAAACAACACATTTGCAAGGCATCACAGGTAAGCAAATCTGAGCTAAGGTAAAGCAATGAAGTAGATGTATTTGTCTTTCATGGCCCATGACTACTTTTGATGCAAAACCCAATATATGCTTAATTTTTCTGGACGGATTCTGAAGGACTGACCTGTTTATTCTTATTCTCTCCTCAACCCACACACTAAGCAGTTTTCTTATGATGTGAGAAACAGCTTTTATCCAGAAATTTACTTAAATTTATGTAATTCCTCAAACTTAATTTGAACCAATCTTTCTAAAATTCTGAAAATTCTCAACTTTCTCTACGAATATTATCAGTTAGGAAGGTGAATCTGGGTATGTTGTTGAAGGCCTATATGGAAGAATTGATGCACTTTCCTTAATGTAGGGCATATATTACATTTATATACCAATGTTTTCTATGACTTGAAAAAGAAATACTAAAGAAATTATAAAATAAAATAATAAAGAAAATTCTTTTATATTAATGTGCTGTGTGAATGTAGAATAACACTATCATAGAATGAGAACATATTAATAAGTGTTACACATTATATACAGTAATTTGAGGCTTTAGGTAAATGAGGTACATATATAATATATATTTATATATTATATTACATATTTATATTATATATTATATAATATATTTTTACATATTATATTATACATTTATATATTATATATTTATTATATATTAAAAATCTTAAAGTTATATATTATATATTATATGTATTATATATAATATATATTAAAAAATCTTAAAGTCAGTATAAACCATAAAGATCACTTTGGGAAATTCCAAATGACCCCTAAATTTGAGAGAAACTTCTGCTCCAAATTATGACCATGTAGAGAAAATATATTAAAATGACTAACTAAAATGTGTTATTGAGATTTAAAACTAGATAACTATCTCAAAATCTCATAAACTGAGCAGAAAGTGCAAAATCCTAAATGGAATAGAAGTTATATAGTGGCTGTACTCCAGACTGGGAATGAAGAATGGAGGTCTGGGAAATAGGTTGTATACTGACCCAGACCCAAAGTGCTGCCTAGCAGACACCAAAATTAGTATTAGAAACCAAGGTTAAAGTTTCCACTAGAAATAGAATACATAAGCGATAGTTATCAAACCACTTAAACGAAATTCTGTCTATAATGGAAGTCAGAAACTCTGGTTTGGATGAGGGTAAGGAGTGGCTGGGTAATGAGTGGTGTCATCAAGAAAACCATAAAATTGCAAAAACCACTGGATAGGGAGTATTAGAAAGAGAAAAACAACAAGACCAGTACAATATTAACATAAAAACAAAATAATATTCCAATTGCAAATTCAAAATAAAATCCCAAAACATATGAAAATATTTAATAATAAGAAAGACAGTATCAAAGTCTACAAATCAGTCATAAATTTATTTCACACATAACTAATTAGATAAAAACTATTATTTAAAATAAATGTTTATGTTGCTCATACATATATAACAATTTTAATTTTAAAAGTATACTTAGAGCACATAAAAAGATGTTTGATATCAATAGGTATGAGGGAAGTCCAAATTAAAACCACTATAAACTATATACAACTGCACACCCATTAAAATGGCCAAATAAAAAGTTCTTGCAATATACACATTTACCGACAATACAAACATACATACTAACTAGTCATACATTATTATTAGCAATAGAAAATGCTACAGCCTCTCTGAAAATCACTTTTTGCCATTTCTTAGAAAGTTGAACATGCACTACCGTTTGACCCAGCAACCCCATACCTGGGTGAAAATGTATGGTCACACAAAAACTTGTACATAAATGTTTACAAGGGTTCTATTCAAAATCCCCAAAACTATAAACAGCCCAAATGTTCTTCAACAGGTGAAGAGATTAAAAAATTAGAGCTGTGCCACATTCATACATGGAATACTACTAACCAATTAAAAAGAAATAAATTTTTGATCTATGAAAGAACTTTGTTGAATGTCAATAGTTCTATGTTGAGTGAAACTATGTATTCTGAAAAGGTTACATACTGCATGAGTCCACATATACTAATTAGCATATTAGAAAATAAAACTCCATAAGGGAGGGCGAAGAAAAGGACTGCTGGGGAGCTATAAACTGATCGATTCCCAGAGCTCAAACAGGGGTAGAAAACATTTAGATTGAACTTATGTATCATTTTCAAAATATGAGAAGAGATTCATTGTTATTAGGGGTTAAAGTTTGTGGAAGAGTATCCATACAAATCAGAGGGGAGCTTTTTGGAGTAATGAAACTGTCTATCTTGATTGTGATGGTAGATACAAGAATCTAAGCATGTAATAAAATCAAAGAATTGTGCAAACCAAAATAACCAATTTTACTGTGTGATAATTTTAAAACATACATATGACTGGTACAGGTTTTGATTTTCTACTGTGAGCAGTTAGAAACTATAAAATATGTAAAAGAACTCTTGTCAGACATTGGACAAGATGCAGCAAAGAACTGTGATCCATAAGGAAGAAAAACAAATCAGAGGAGTTCTACAATATCTTGGAGGGACTTCCAGAAAATTAGACACTGAAGGAGAAAGATGAGCGAACTCGACAGAGAAATAGAAAATATCTAAACTGCAACACATGGAGAAAAATTACTCCCAAAAAATAAGACAAGGAGGAGGAGGAAGAGAATAAGATGAGGGTTGAGGAGGGGAGAAGGAGAATAAGAATAAGTTGAATGGAAACGAAAAAATAAGAAAAAGAACAAGAAGAAGGAGAAAGAGAAGGAGGGGGAGGAGGAGTTTGGAGACTCAGAAACTATGGACAAAATATTAAGTAGTTTAGCATAGGTGTCATAAAAAACCCAATGGAAAAAAAGAGAAAGAAGACGGCTAGGAAAATATTTAAATAATTATTGGGGAAAATGTTCTAATTTGAAGAATATTATAAAATTACAGATCCAAAATATTCAGTGAAACCTCACGATATGGTTTGGCTCTGTCCCCACCCAAATCTTATCTTGAACTGAACCCCCTTAATTCCTATGTGTGTGGGAGAGACCCAGTGGGAGATAATTGAATCATGGGGGGCGGTTTGCCCCATACTGTTTACGTGGTAATAAGTCTCATGCGATCTGATGGTTTTATGAGGGGAAACTCCTTTCACTTGGTTCTCATTCTCTCTTCTCTGCCGCCATGTAAGACTTGCCTTTAGCCTTTTGCCATGATTGTGAGGCCTCCCCAGCCATGTGGAACTGTGAGTCCATTAAGCTGCTTTTTCTTTATAAATTACCCAGTCTTGGGTATCCCAGGCACTGTGGCACACACAGTAGCTGTAGTCCCAGTTACTCCAAAAACTGAGCTGAGAGGGTTGCTTGAGCCCAGGAGTTGAAGTTCAGACTGGGCAACCTAATGAGACTCCATCTCTTAAAAAATTAATTAATTAATTAAAAAAAAACTTCTATACTTCTATGCTGCCTAAAAGAAAGTCAATTTAATGCCTGTTTTGAAATTTTGATTTTTGTGGGTACAAAATAGGTGTATATATTTATGGGTTACATAAGATATTTTGATAAAGTAGCTCTATTTTAAGTTTTTGAGGAACCTCCAAACTGTTCTCCAGAGTGGTTGTGCTAATTTACATTCCCATCAACAGTGTACAGGTGTTCCCTCTTTTCCACATCCTTGCCAGCATTCCTTATTGCCTGTCATTTGGATAAAAGACATTTTAATAATAGCTCATTGTAGGTTTGATTTGCATTTCTCTGATGATCAGTGACGTTAAGCTTTTTCTAAACCTTTTTTCCATTTGCACATCTTCTTTTGAAGACTATCTATTCAGCTCTTTTACCCATCTTTTAATTGGATTGTTGGGTTTTTTTTTTTCCTATAGAGTTGTTTGAGCTCCTTACATGTTCTGTTTATTAATCTCTTGTTAGATAGGTAGTTTGCAAATATTTTCTCTCATTCTGTGGGTTGTCTCTTCACTTTGTTGATTATTTCCTTTGTTGTGCAGAAGCTTTTTAACTTGATGTGATCCCAGTTTTCAACTTTTGCTTTGGTTGCCTGTGTTTGTGGGGTATTATTCAAGAAATCATTGCCCAGACCAATGTCCTAAAGGGTTTCCCCTATGTTTTCTTTTCACAGTTTGAGGTCTTAGATTTAAGTCTTTAACCCATTTTGATTTGATTTTTGTATATTTTGCAAAAGATAGGGGTCCAGTTTTATTCTTCTGCATATGAATATCCAGTTTTCCCAGCACATATTTATTGAGGACTATCCTTTCCCTAATGTATGTTCTTAGACTCTTTGTCAAGAATGAGTTCACTATAGTTGTATAAATTTATTTCTAAGTTCTCTGTTCTGTTCTATTGGTCTGTGTGTTTGTTTTTAGGCCAGCACCATGCTATTTTGGTTACTATAGCTCTGAGGTGTAATTTGAACTCAGGTAATGTGAATCTTCAGGTTTTGTTCTTTTTGCTGAAGACAGTTTTGGTTACTCTGGATATTTTGTGTTTCCATATAAATTTTGGCCTTGTTTATTTCTATTTCTGTGAAGAATGTTATTGGTAATTTAATAGAAATTGCATTGAATTGTAGATTGCTTTGGACAGTATATACATTTTAACAATAATGATTCTTCCAATTCATGAACACTGGTATCTTTTGGTTTTTTGCATCAATGTTTTATAATTTTTATCACAGAGATCTTTCACTTATTTCATTAATTCTTAAAGATTTGATTTTATTTGTAGCTACTGTAAATGGGATTACTTTCTTGCTTTCTTCTATAGATTGTTGGCTGTTGGCATATAGAAATTTTACTAATTTTTTAGAGTTGATTTTATATCCTGCAACTTTACTGAATTTATTAGTTCTAATAGTTTTCTTGTGGGGTCTTTAGGTTTTCCCAAGTTAAGCTCATATCATCTGCAAACATGGACAATTTGACTTCTTCCTTTACAATCTGGATGCCCTTTATATCTTCCTCTTGTCTGATTGCTCTAGCTAGGACTTCCAGTACTATGTTGAAATAACAGTGGTGAAAGTGGACATCCTTGTCATGCTCCAGTTTTTAGAGGAAAGGCTTTCAAATTCTCCCCTTTCAATTTGGTACTAGCTATAGATCTGTCATACATGGTTTTTATTATGTTGAGTTATGCTCCTTTCATAAACAATTTTTTAAGAGTTTATGAATTCAACATCATGAAGAGATGTTGAATTTTATCAAGATTTTCAGCATCAATTGAAGTGATCAGGTATTTTTTGTCCTTCCTTCTGTTGATATGATGTATCACATTGATTGATTTGTGTATGTTGAACCTTTCTTGCATCACTGGAATAAATCCCACTTGGTCCTGATGAATGATCTTTTTAATATGTTGTTGAATTTGGTTTTCCAGTATTTTGTTAAAGATTTTTCATCAATATTCATCAAAGATATTTGCCTGTAGTTTTATTGATGTGTCTTTGGTTTTGGTATCAGGGTAAATCTGGCCTCTTAGAACAAGTTTGGAAGTGCTTCCTTGTTCTATATTGTTTAGACTAGTTTGAGTAAGATTCGTATTAGTTCTTTAAATGTTCAGTGGAAATCAGCAGTGAAGTCATTAGGTCCTGGGATTTTCTCTGCTAAGAGATATTGTATTATGAGTTCGATCTTGTTAATTATTATTGGTCTGTTCAAGTTTTCGATTTTTTCATGGTTCAATCCTGGTAGGTTGTTTGTGCTTAAAAATTTACCCATTTCTTTTAGATTTTCCAATTTATTGGTGTATAGTCACTCATAGTAGCCACTAATGATCCTTTAAATTCCTAAAGTATCAGTTGTAAGGTCTCCTCCTTCATCTCTGATGTTATTTTGGGGGGTCTTCTATCTTTTTTATTTTTTCAATATGGCAAAAGATTTGTCAATTTTATCTTTTGAAAAAACTTTTTATTTCATTGGTCTTTTATATTGTTTTCTTCTTCTCAATTTTATCCATCTCTACGCTGATCTTTATTATTTATTTTTTTCTACTGATCCTGGGTTTGGTTTCACTTGCTTTTCTAGTCCTTTCAGTTGCATCATTCAGTTTATTTGAAAGTTTTCTTCTTTTTTAATGTAGATGCTTATAGCTATAAACTCCCATCTTGCTACTGCCTTCACTGTATCCCATAGGTTTTGGTATGTCATGTTTCCATTATCATTTGTTTCAAGACTATTTTAAATTTTCTTCCTAATTTCTTCATTGAATGGTCATCTTTTGAAAATGATCCATATGCTGAGGAGAGGAATGTGTATTCTGTAGCTGTTGGCTAAAATGTTCTGTTATATATATTAGATCCATTTGGTCTATAGTGCACATTAAAAGTCTGATGTTTCTTTGTTGATTTTCTGTCTGGAAGATCTATCCACTGAAAGTGAGATGTTGAAGTCATTTTGTATGATATAAGTATGGATGCTTCTGCTGTTTCCTGGCTTCCATTGGCATAGAAGATCTTTTTCCATCCCTTTATTTTCAGTCTTTTGGTGTCTTTATAAGTGATGTGTGTTTCTTGTAGGTCTCGGATCATTGGGTCCCATTCTTTATATCCATTCAGCGACTTTACGTCT
Source organism: Homo sapiens (assembly GCF_000001405.40). Lineage (NCBI taxonomy): Eukaryota > Metazoa > Chordata > Mammalia > Primates > Hominidae > Homo > Homo sapiens. The sequence goes on from NC_000006.12 coordinate 62,705,098, forward strand.
TTTTATTGGAGAGTTTAGTTCCTCTACATTCCATGTGATTATTTATAAGTAGGAATTTACTCTGCCATTTTGTTATTTTTTTCTAGTATTCTCATGATTGTGTCTTCCTTTTTTTCTTCCTTTCTGTCCTTTCACTGAAGGTAATTTTCTATGGTGGTATGATTTAATTTCTTTTTATTTTTTGTGTATCCATTGTATGTTTTGATATGAGGTTACTATTACACTTGCAAATAATACCTTACAACCCATTATTTTATGCTGATAACAACTTAATGCTTGCATAAACAAACTAACAAGGAAAAAGAAAACTAATAGAAACTCTACAGTTTATCTCCCCACTTTTTAACTTTTTATTATTTCTATTTATATCTTACCTTACTGACTATGCCTTTAAAAGTTGTAGCTATTAGTTTTTATTGGTTCATTGTTTAGTCTTTCTACTTAGAGTAAAAGTAGTTCACCCACCATAGTTACAGTGTTGTAATAGTTTGTGTTTTTCTGTGTACTCACTATTGCCAGTGAATTTTGCACAGTCAGATGATTTTTTATTGCTCATTAGGATCCTTTTCTCTCTGATTTGAAATATTCCCTTTAGCATTTCTTGTAGAATAGACCCGGTGTTAATGAAATCTCTTAGATTTTGTTTGTCTGGGAAAGTCTTTATTTCTCCTTCATGTTTGAAAGATATTTTCACCAGATATACTATTGTAAAGTAAAAGTTATTTTCCTTCAGCACTTTAAAATATGTCATGCCACTCTCCCCTGAGCTGTAAAGTTTCCACTGAAAAGTCTGCTGCCAAATGTATTAGTACTTTATTGTATGGTATTTGTTTCTTTTCTCTTGCTGGTTTTAGAATCCTTTCTTTATACTTAATTTTTGGGAGTTTGATATTAAGGGTCTTGAGTTAGACTTCCTTGGGATAAATCTACTTGGTGTTCTATATCTGTATCTACATATTCTTGTACTTGGATATTGATGTCTTGTCTAGGTTTGGGAAGTTTTCTGTTGTTATCCCTTTGAATAAACTTAGGTAGAAAGTTTATTTTCTACCTATCTCTTTCTCTTCCTCCTCTTTAAGGGCAATAACCCCTGGATTTGCCCTTTTCAGACTGTTTTCTAGATCCCGTAGGCATACTTTTTTATTCTTTTTTCTTTTGTCTCCTTTGACTGTGTATTTTCAAATAGCCTGCCTTCAAGCTCAGTAATTCTTTCTTCTGCTTGATCCATTCTACTATTAGAAGATTCTAATTCATTCTTCAGAATGCCAGTTGTATTTTCCAGCTCTAGAATTCCACTTGATTCCTTATAATTATTTTAATCTTTTTGTTAAATTTAAATGCCAGAATTCTGAATTCCTTTTCTGTGTTATCTTGAATTGTTTTGAGCTTCCTCAATACAGCTATTTGGAAATATCTGTCTGAAAGGTCACACATTTCTGTTTCTCCAGAATTTTTCCCTGATGCCTTCTTTAGTTCATTTGGTGAGGTCAAGTTTTCCTAGATGGTGTTGATGTTAGTGAATGATCTTCAGTGTCTGGGTAGGGAAGGGTTAGGTATTTATTGTCATCTTCACTGTCTGGGCTTATATGTAGCTGTCATTCTTGGGAAGGCTTTCCAGATATTTGAAAGGACTTGGGTGTTGTGATCTAGATGATTCCTGCTTTAGAGAGCACCCCAATTCCAGGAGCAATGTAGTTCTTGCAGACCCATAGAGGTACTACTTTAATGGTCCTGGACAAGATCTGGGAGAATTCTCTGGATTACCAAGTAGAGACTCTTATTCTCTTCCCTTACTTTGTCCCAAATATAGAGAGTCTCTCTCTCTCTCTTTCTTTTTCTGCCTTGAGACACCCAAAGCTGGGGTTGGAGTGACACAAGCACCCCTGTGGCCACCACCACTGTCACTGTGCTACGTTAGACCTTAAGCCAGCACAGCACTAAGTCTTGACCAAGGCCTACTGTAACTACACCCTGGCTACTGCCTATGTTCATTCAAAGCCCTAGGGCCCTACAATCAGCAGGAGGCAAAACTAGCCAAGCCTATGTTCTTGCCTTCATGGTGGCAAGGTCCCTCAGGCCCCAGGTAAGTTCAGAAGTGCCACCTGGGAGTCAGGGATTAGATTCAAAAACCTTATAATTCTAACTGGTGTTCCATTGTATTGAGGCTGAGCTGGCACTCACACCACAAGTTGCAGCTCTTCCCACTCTTTCTTCCCCTTTCTAAAGGCAAAGGAGCCTCAGTTGGTGGTCACTGCCACCCCTGGCCACAAGGAGTACTGCTAGACTACCACCCATGTTCCCTTAAGGCCCAGTATCTCTTAAGTCAGCTTGTGGTGAATACTGGCTGGCCTGGGACTCACCCTTCAGAGCGATGGGCTCTACTCTGGCCCAGGGAAGGTCCAGAAATGCCATCCAAGAGTCAAGTCCTAGAATCAGGTAGCCAAGAGCCTGCTTGGTTCTCTACTCCTCTGTGGAGGAGTTGGTACCTAAGGTGCAAGACAAAGTCCACTTTATTTTTCCCTCTGCTTTTCTCAAGCAGAAGGGGTTTTGCCCTGCAGCCAGCACAGCTATTAATTTGCCTAGTCTCACATGAAGCCAGAGAGTCTCAGAAGCTGACCAAGGCCCTCGATATAGTACCTACATATTGCTGCTGATTATTCAGGGCCCAAGGGGTCTTTACCTCTAGCCGGTGATGAATGCTGGCAGAACTGGATTCTTTCCTTCAAGGCAGCAAATCCCATTTGCCCCAGGGTGTGTCTAGAAATGTCATCTTGGAGCTAGGCCCTAGAATGGGGGCCTCGTGAATCTGATCAGTGCCCTATTCTACTGTGGCTGAGCTTGTTTCCAAGATACAAGACAAAGTCTTCCCCACTCTTCTGCCTCTCCTTAAGCAGAAGGAAGGGGTCTCTTTTTGAGCCGTGAGCTGTGAAGTCCAGGGTTATGGAAGGGTAGATGCCAGCATTCCCTTGGCTGCCCCAGCTGCTGTCTCAGTATGTTGCATCCCCCTGCCACCCAGCCCACTGTATCTGGGCTTAGTTCAGCCCTAGGGATTGCCTAAGCATAGTGGTCCTATGGCCTACACTGCCTTTCAAGTTTACTTAGATACCAAAAGTACTTTGGCCCTCAGTGGTGAGGTGTGTGGGCACCCAAGTTCAGACTGCTGGGATCAGTAATTTCCCTCTGGCTAGGACTGGTTTAAATGCTCCCTCTGTGGGTTGGTGTCCATTGAGTTTGGTATGGGTTTCCTTTCTGTTCTAACAGGACAGCATTGCATTCAATGCTCAAAATTCCTGTGTTCATCTTCCCCCAACACCCAGAGTACTCTCCGCACCATGTCACCACTGCTAAGAGTGAGGAAAGGTTGTGTCTGTGATTCAGGACTTCTTTTTTTTTTTTTTTGTATTTCTTCAGTGTCTCTTTCAGTAACATGAAGTTAAAACCAGGTACGAGTGCTCAACTATTTTTGGTTCTTATAAAGGTGATTTTTCTGTGTAGATAGCTGTTAACTTGGTGTCCTTGTGGGGAGGACGATCAGTGGAGTTTTTTATTCTGCCCTCTTGTTTTTGCCTCTTGTCCTCTTTGTTAAATCTATCTGATAGAATTCTGAATTCCTTGTCTGTGTAGGATTGGTCTCTGGTGCCTTATTTAGTTCATTTGGTGAGGTCATGATTTCCTAGATGGTCTTGATGCTTGTGGATATTTGTCAGTTTCTGGGCATTAAAGAGTTAGGTATTTATTATAGTCTTTGCAGTCATTGCACCCTGGTGGCCACCACCACTTGGACTTTGTTGGGTTAGAACTGAAGCCAGCACAGCACTGGGTCTTACCTAAAGCCCACGGTAACCACTACCTGGTAACTGCCAATGTTTTCTCAAGGACTTGCAATGAGCAGGTGGCAAAGACAGCCATGCTTGTGTCTTTCCCTTAAGTGTGGCAAGTTCCTCCAGGTACCTGGTGGGTCTAGAGATGCTATCCAGGAGCTAGGGACAGGAATCAGAAACCTTATACGTCTATCCGTTACTCTTATCTACTGTGGCTGAGCTGGCTTTCAAACCATGAGACACAGTACTTCGTACTCTTGCCTCCCATTTCCACAGGCAGGGGAGCTTCAACCTATGGTCACTACCAGCGTAATAAGCCCATGGAGAATACAGACAGGTCACCACTAATGGTCAGTTAAGGTCCAAGGGCTCTTCAGTCAACTTGTGACAAAGGTTGCTGGGCCTTTTACTTGCCCTTCAGGGTAGTGGGCCCCCCACTGGCTCAGAGCAGGTCCAGAAATACCATCCAAGAGCCAAAGCCCAGAATTGCAACCCCAAGAGTCTGCTTGATACCCTACCCCACTGTGGCTGAGCTGGTACCTAAGATGCAAGACAAACTCCCTTTTTATTTTCCCTCTGCTTTTCTGAAGCAGAAGGAGTCTCACCATAGCCACCATAGCTAGGAAAGTGCTGGGTCTCACCTGAAGCCAGGACATCTCAGAGTCTCACCCAAGACCATGTCATACTACCTGGATATCGCTGCTGGTTTCTCAAGGCCCAAGGGCTTTTCAAGCAGCAGGCAATAGGTTATTCAAGGATTGCATTATTTCCTTCAAGACAGTCGATTCCTTTCTGTCACCAGGCATTTTTAGAAATGTCATCTGGGAGGTAGGGCAAGGAATGGGGGTCTCTTGATTCTAACTGATGCCCTATCCTGCTGTGGCTGAGCTGGTATCCAAAATGCAAAAGAAAAGTCCTCTTTACTCTTCCCTCTTCTCTCCTCAAGGGGATGGAGGTGGTCTCTTTTGGAGCCACAAGCTGTGTTGCCTGGGGTTGTGGGGAGGAAGTGACACAAGCACAATAGTGGCACCCATTATTAAGGTATCTTAGTTAAGTCATGTGACCCTCCAAGTCCACTGGCTCTGAGCCCAGCTTAGTACTAGGACTGATAGTCCTTGTGGCCTCAGCTGTCTTTCAAGTTTATTTAGGGTCCCAGAGAATTTTATCATATGGTGGTGAGGCTTGCTGGAACTCAAGTTCTGACCACTGGGATGGGCGATTCCTCTCTATGTAGGATTGGTCTGAATGTTTCCTCCATGGGCAAGCATCAGCTAAGTTTAGCCTGGTTTTTCTTTCCACTGTGACAGAGCAGCAGTGAATTTAATGTGAAATCTTAAAATTGCTATGCTTTCCCTCTTCTAAGTACAGATTTCTCCATGCCACATGGCCAATGTGGGCATGACTAGTGGGAGGGGGACGAGGGAAGGGTGGCAGCAGCAATTCAGGACTGTCTTTTGCACTCTCTTCAGTACCTCTCTCAGTGATATGACGTTAAAACCTGGTACCATGAGTGCTCACTGATTTTTCATTTTTACAATGATGCTTTTTAGATAGATAGATAGTTAGATAGATAGATAGATAGATAGTTGTTGAATTTGGTGTCCCCGCAGGGGGAAATGTTTAGTGGGGCCTTCTATTCTGCATCTTACTCTACTTTTTTTCTAAATGTCTTTAACATAAAGAAAAAGAGCCCAGGCACGGTGGCTCGTGCCTGTAATCCCAGCACTCTAGGAGGCCAAGGCAGGCAGATCATGAGGTCAGGCATTTGAGACCAGCCTGCCCAACGTGGTGAAACTCTGTCTCTACTAAAAATACAAAAATTAGATGGGTGTGGTGGCAGGTGCCTGTAGTCCCAGCTATTTGGGAGACTGAGGCAGAGAATCACTTGCACCCAGGAGGCGGAAGTTGCAGTGAGCCGAGATAATGCCACTGCACTCTCCAGCCTGGGTGACAGAGCAAGACTCTGTCAAAAAAAAAAAAAAAAAAAGCTAGATTAATAGTGAAATATTTGTGAAAAATAAATCACATGTCATTTAAATACTAATCATAAAGAGTAAGTGGCATTATTAATATCACACAACATAAGTTTCAAGCAAGGAATATTATTAGGTATAATGGAGAACATCAGTCAATCAACATTGAAACATAGTAATCCTAAATGTATATGTACTCTATAACTAAGCTTCAAATACATGAACAAAAAGTTAATTGAACTTAAAGGAGAAATAAACAAGTGCCACTTTTCTGTCACTAAATGATAGAACAATTAGACAGAAATGTTTAAAAGTAAAAAGACTAACAACACTATCAACCCACTTGAACCATTGTATAAAACTCTAATATCTACCAAAAAAAAAGAAAGAAAGAAAAAACTCAGAACTGACAAATGAGTTAATCAGGGTTATTATGTCAAAATTAATTTTATTTTTATATCCTAGAAATGACAAAATGAAAACTAAAATTAAAAGAAAAGCATTTACAATAGACTCTGGAAACACAAAATACTTAGAGATAAATTTAACAAAATATGCAGAAGATATTAAAAATTGTAGAACATTGCTGAGAGAAAATAAAGATGACCTAAATTAATAAAAATATATGCAGATTTATACACTGAAACACACAATATTATTAAGGTGTTAACAAAAATTTATGGATTCTGTGCAATGCCAATAAAATATGTCATCGACAAGCTAATACGGAAATTTATAGGAAAATCCAATGGTGCTGTAATAGATGATAGTACTAAAAGAGTGAAACAAAGTTACTGGATTTATAATAGCTTATAATTAAAAGCCAAGGAAGTCTAGAACTAGATTTGCACTTCATTCAAAATGGAGAAAATAGGCTGATCTTTTCAACAAATTATGAAATAAGTGTATATTTGTTTTGAAAAGTTAACCTTGACCCTTAGAGCATAAAAAAATATCAAAATAAACCATAGACTAAACAGAAAATGTAAAATTTTACACTTTCCTCAAAAAGATATAGGTAAAAATCTTTGCAACTCAAAAAGTGAATAGGTAAGCAAATTGCGGCACACCTACATAATGAAATACAACTCAACAACAGAAAGACTGAATTTCTGATACATTTATTAAAACAACCTACAGAATGAGAGAAAACATTTTCAAACTATGCTTCCAAGAAAAGACTAATATCCAAAGTATATAAGGTATTCAAATAATGCAACAAGGGAAAAACAACACCATTATAAATTTGGCAAAAGGACACAAATAGACACTTTTCAAAAGAAGACATACAAGAACCCAAAAAACATATGAAAAAATATTCAACATCACTAATCATCAGAAATGCAAATTCAAACCACAACAAGATACCATCTTACACCAATCAGAATGGCTATTACTAAAAAGTCAAAAACAACAGATTTTGGCTAGGATGTGGAGGAAAGGGAATGCTTATACACTGTTGGCGGCAATGTAGATTAGTACAACCTGTATGGGAAACAGTATAGAAATTTCTCAAGAAACTAAAAATAGGACTACCATTCAATCCAGCAATCCCACTACTGGGTATTTGCCCAAAACAATGATAAAAGTTGTTTTATAAGAAAGACACCTACACTTATGTGTTTGTCACAGTGCTATTCAGCACAGCAAAGCCATGGAATCAACTTAAGTATGTATCAACGAATGATCAATGAATATATATGTGTGTGTGTTTGTGTGTGTGTATTTATATATACATATATATAGGTGTGTCTGTAAACTCAGAAACAGAAAGTCAAATCCTGCATGTTCTCACTTATAAGTGGGAGCTAAACAATGGGAACACATGGACATATAAATTGGAATAAGAGACATTGAAGACTCAAAAAGGTAGGACGGTGGAAGTGTGATGAGGGTTGAAAAAAATACCTGTTAGGTACAGTGTTCACTATTCAGGTAATGGTTACACTAAAAATCCAGACTTCATCACTATGCAATATGTCTACATAATAAAAATTGCATTGTATCCTCTTGTATCTCTTTTTTTAAAGCATACATTTGCAAAGCACGATGCTGAGGGTAATCAGTTGTACACAAAAGACTACATATTGAATTATTCAACTTACATGAAATTCTATATATACTGATTCCTTAGTAATGGAAAACAGACCAGTGGTTGCCAGAGACTAGAGGAAAGGAGAAACAATTAAGTGAGATGGAGTGTAAGAAAACTTTTTGGAATAATAGAAATATTCTATATTCTGATTGTGGTATTGTTTACACTGACAAATACATTTGTCAAAATTTAAAACTATATACTAAAAATGGTATATTTTATTTTACATAATTTTTACCTTCATAAAAAGTTGATTCAAAAGGCTATGGAGATAAAAATGTGATCAACAAAATCAAACTACATAAAATAATACATTTATAAGACATTCTTAATAATTGAAAATAAAAATTAAATTGGTATACTCCAGAAAATTATGAATTATCAAAATTGACTGAATGAGGATAAAGTCTGAAGAAAATAGAACCCTATAATGTAATTGAATTAATAATAAAAACTTTTCCCCTTCCCAGCCCAAAACACTATGCCCACTTAGTTATAACAATCCTTAAAGAAACATATTATTTTTATTTATGCAAACATTCAGAGTAGAACAAAGCAATAAAATGTAGCTTATCAGGCCAATAAAAATTTGACACTACAATTAATGTTGAACCAAGCCAATAAAGAAAATAAAATCTTAAATTGTATTAACCAATATAGGCTGAACCAAAGGTGTTCAAGATGGTAGCCACAACCCACTTTTAGCTTTTCAGCACTTGGAATGTGGCTAGACAAAATAAAGATGTATGTACAAAATACTTAGTATGAGAAAATGAATGAAAAAAATCTGAATAATAATTTTATATTACCTATTATATTAAAATGATAATTTGGATATATTGGATTAAATAAAATACACTAGTAAAACTAAATTTCACCAATTTTAAAACTTATTTTACTATATTAAATTTTCAATTATAATGGATGCTCACATTAGTGACTCAGATTTTATTTATATTGAACAGGGTCATTCTAGGTTATTTTGCAGTGTGGTAAGCAGAATGACCCTAAATGTCCATATCCTAATCCCTGAAACCTGAGAATCTGTCATGTCATATGACAAAATGGATTTTGCTGTTGTTATTAAGGGTACAAACTATGACAAGGGAGTTTATCCTAGATTATGCAAGTAGGCCATGTCTAATCATATAAGCTATTAAAAGCAGAGTATTTTCTCCAGTTGCAGTCAGTGAGATGCAGCTGAAGGACAGGTTGGAGTAAAAAACTTCATCACAAACCTGTTAACAAGCCATCCCCCCATGAGGTCATGGAGGCCACAAGAGTAGTAAAAACAAGGCACTCCTGCTCCTTATAGGGTGGGGTTTTAGGTAGAGGCCTAAGGGGAGTCAGGACTCCCACCCCAATGGGCAATAACAAAAAACCTTCACTTTTCCTCATATCAATGGAGCTTAGGTGGGAATCTGTATTCTACATCTACATGACAGTAGAAGGTGACATTCTTTCCCATTCCCCCACTGGAATAGTGTCAGAGGAAAGCAGCTAAAATGAAATGTTTAAAGAATATTTGCATTCTTACAACTAATACTCAAAATGTCTAGCTTTCAGTAAAATCCATCATTATACCAAAGACTCAGAAAATTTTGCCTGAATGAGAAAAAATGAACAACCAACACCAAAAGCAAGATGACATAAATGTTAGGATTATCTGTCAAAACTTTAAAAATAGCTATGATAAAAATACAATTATGAAGCAATAATGAACATGCTTGAAGGAAATGGAAAAAAAAATTCTCAGCAAAGTAATAGAAAATTTAGGAAAAGGTAGAAGATATTTTTAAAAAAGAAAATTGAAACAGAAAAATACAATAATGGAAGTGGAAAAAAAAAAAAACCCTAAATCGATGGGCTCAACAACATAGGGGAGACCTTAGAAGTAAAAATGAGAGAACTTGATGATAAAACAATAGAAATTGACCAATCTATGCAACATAGAAAAAAAAGAATTAAAAACAAAATTGGAAAAACATTAGGGATCCTTGGGACTATAACAAAAAAACTAGCATTAATGTCATCAGAGTCCAGGAAAAAATAAAAAGAAAGAAGAAGGAGGGTGAGGCCAACAATGTGCTTGAATAAATAATAACTGAAATTATCCTAAATTGCTAAAAGGCATAAACCTATAGACTGTTAAAGCTGAGCAAGGCTTAACCAAGATACACCCAAAGAAATCCGAGCCAAACCACATTATAGTCAAACTACTGTGAACTAAAGACAGAGAAGAAATATCTTAGAAGCAGCAGAGAGAAACACCTACAGGGGAAAAATATTTAAAAGATAGTGAATTTCTCACCAAAAATCAGGGAGAGCCAGAGAGAAATGAAACACTTATCAAGTCCTGAAAGGAAAAAAAAAAAACTATCAACTCAGAATTTTATATCTAGCATTAGTGTCTTTCAGGAATGAAGGGGAAATACATTTTCAAATGAATTTGTATTCATTTGAAAATTCATTCATTCAATGCTTAGTCAGTGACTAAGCATTTGTCACTGACAAAACCACCCTAAAATAATCGTTAAAGTAAATGATTTAAGCAAGATAGAAATAATAAATAAACAAGCTTTGAAACATCATGAAGGAAGAACAGAGAAAGCAAAAACATGCGTAAATACAATAGATTTTCCTTCCCTTTCTGAATTTGCTAAATTATGTTTGAAGTTTAAAACAATCAATCAAGAAGTTCCTCGTTGATTAAAAAATGTGAAAAGCAAACATTAAAGTACTTTAGAAGAAAATACAATATCAAAGCAGGCATTGATTTTCTAAATCAGGCCCCACAAGCAAATATGTAAGAGAAAGAAAATAAATGTAAGTACATTTGAAATCATTTCAAGTGGCAATATAACAAAAATTAAAAGTCCAACTTTTGATTTGCATGATGCACTTGCAAGTATTTAAGCAATAGAAAATAATATCTGAAAGTTATAAATATATCTTACACATTAATATTTCAAGAAATGAATAACTGCATAAAATGGCATGGGATAAATACAGGCAGTTTCTGGAGGTGTGATGACAAAAATAAAGAAAATTTGCTCAATCTAATTTGTAATTTAAAAAAATAAAAAATGAAACCATTAAAATAATTCCTTTGCTTAATATTGAAAAACATTAAAGGGTAACATAATATCATATATTAGTATTAGAAAATAAAAACTCTTATACACTTCTTGTTAAGTGTTAATAATAAGTACATTTTAGAAAACATTCAGCAATGCTTAGTTAAGTTGAAGCTGCAAATAATCCATTATCCAGCATTTGTATCCTGAAAAGGTAGAGGAACACTTACCTACTGGAGGAACTCTCACACAATGCCTTAAAAAGGTATCTATAACACAGTTTATTGTAACATAAAGTACAATGATGAAGAGAAAAAGAAAGAAAAAAAAATAAAACACCAAAGGCATGACAGGGAAATAGATGTGTCCTGTCCTGAGTGAAGTGTTCTGCCCAGGTTCACCTAATTATTAAGGGGTCCAAGAATTGAACCTTAATTGGATGGCATTGAACCCCTTATAGTATACCAGAGAAGTTAATTTTAATAATATATAGTTTCATAAAAAGCTGAATTGCAGGAATTAAAAAGCATGCCAAGGAAACCGTAAACAAGAAAAGAATTAATAGAGGCAGAATATGTAGCTAAAACTTAACCTTAGACACAGTAAGATTAAATTGCACACAATATGCATTTTTTTCTCTTTTTCTGTTCTGCATTGGCAACTCATTGCTTGAATACGTACGACTATGTACTGTTCTATGGTATCTTTTCCATTTTGTCTAGGAAAGAGTTAATCAAATAAACTATCCCCCATTAATGTATTTCTTCTCAGAGGCAGTGTACTATACCTAACCTCTAGAGCGATAGTGATGGTGGTACTTCCAGCTATCACACCAGGTGAATTGGAGGCAAGGGATAAGTGGGTAATTGAGCTATTTTCCTGTGGAGAAGCTATTATATTGGCTCAGATTATACTTGAGAAGCACATCTTCAGAAACTAAATCTATATTGCATTTGCCTGGAGCAAAGAATGTGTATGGATATCTTTCTGCTGGTCCATATTCTTTCCTTTAGTGAACAAGGACCAGTGGCAAGACTCTCTGGTTCAGTTGGTATAATACAATTCTCTTCTAATATGGTCTTGGTCAGAGAATCTACTTGTTTCACACATATTTATTTTATGTATACCCTGTTCAGGAATGCCTACTCCAAAATATTCAGATATTAATTAAAAATAATGTCTGAATTCTTTATACTTTCCCCCTGTGTTAACTAAATCTCTAGCCATATTTGCAGTCTAGACTGGATCAAGAAGTCTTCAACATCTTAATTTACTTTTTTAATGTGAAAAGAAAAAACATTCTCTCTCAATGTCATGTTTCAAGTGCCTACATGTATTAGAAATATCCAATCTAAGAAGAATTTTCCCTTTGTTTAATGCTTTACTTGTAAGAGTGAACAACTTTGTGGATATCAGCCCCCAGTATTGTGATACAATTTTAATTTAGAAACAGATGATCATTAGTATACTGTAAGGCATTTTCCAGATTTATGGAGTCATAAACCCGATGACATTTTAGGGGTGTTAACAATGGAGGGCAATGAGGACCATCAGTATAATTTTAACAAATAGAAATATTATCTTGCCTAGCAATTGTTTTATATTTTAGAAGCTTGAAGGGTTTTTCTCTTTAATATCTTACTGAGTTCATGGAAAGTCAGAGTTATTATGGATATCCTGCATTTAAATACTACACAGCCCATGATGATTAGATGAGCTTAAAAATCTTATACTACTTAACTCTCAATCAAATGGTAAAATAGCATTTTTTTTTAACTTAGGAGTGATCCTTAAAAGTCCTATACTGAGTTAGTGAGTTCAACTGATTAAATGTAATAGTATAAGAGATAAGTGGTGGGCCGGGCACGATGGCTCATAACCGTAACCCCAGCACTTTGGGCGGCTGAGGCAGATGGATCACTAAGTCAGGAGTTCAAGACCAGCGTGGTCAACACAGTGAAACCCTGTCCCTACTAAAATTACAAAAATTAGCCAGGTGTGGTGGCACATGCCTGTAGTCCCAGCTACTCAGGAGGCTGAGGCATGAGAATGGCTTGAACCTAGTTGCAGTGAGCCAAGACCGCACCATTGCACTCCAGTCTCGGGGACAGAGTGAGATTCTGTTTCAAAAAAAAAAAAAAATGAGAGAGATAAGTGGTGATCCTCTTCACATTCAAATGTTTTTCCTCTCTTCCCTGCTAAAACATTGGTCCCTAAATTCCATAAGCAATATCTAAACAGAGTGCTATTGTTTACAGAGGTACATTAGTATAAATGCATACACTTCTAACCAAAAAAAATCCTAACAATGATGAATCAGTAATATAATCTCTGAACAACAAGATATTTGTATTGTTGTTATTATCATTATTACTTCAAGCTAAAAAAGATTTTTGAATCCTACCAACATTTTCATATTTAAATACTAAGGAGATATATGAGTATATCAATGTGTCAATGTACATCAATCTTTTTTCACTTGAACTATAGTCAGCTTTCCATTATTTATGAGAATGGAACAGGAGAGTTGTATGGATAATTCAATAGCAAGTCAATAAAATTTCTGTTTGTATTGCGATTGTATTATATAATAACTTGTGCAGCAAATATTCTTTTCTAACTCTTTTGATTAAGCTAAAATGAATGGATCATTTTATGCCTGAAGTACACGCATGTTCACTAGATTCAGCAGATTTTTTAAAAAATGAAAAAGTGCTGTAAGGGTATACTGGACAGTGATACTCAAGTTCTGTGTGAAATTTGTACCTTAGATATAATAATTATTCTGGACCCAGTCTATCTTCTGTTAATAATTTTAAAAAACTATTTCTTTTCAAAAAATAAGTTATTTTTTCCTTGAGTTAATAAAATAATTATTAACTGCTCTCTATTTGTTCTGAGGAATACAAAGATACAAGTCTCAAAATCAACACAGCCTAGAGAAGGACCTAAGCTTTCTATCTTAAATTTCTCTCTGCTATTTCTTTTCTACCAGTATTCAAAGATATTCACTCTCTCATACTATTAAAAATTTTTCATAAACCTCTATTTCCTTCTGTCTATGGCTGTATCTTGCTTTTCACTTGATAACTAGACTTTTTGCGTGTCATTTATCCATCTGTCTCTTCTTGGTATTTGGGCTTTATTCCATGTCCCATCACATGATTAAATCCAATGAAGAGTTTTCACTTGCTTGGAAACTCAGAAGCTTTTGACATAAACATTGTCTTTATTTATCTAAAAATCAGCCCTTGGCTTCTCAGATTCCACACTATGCTTGCTTGCTTGCTTTTTTTTTTTTTTTTTTTTTTTTTTGGCTTATTCATTTTGTACTCTAAATTTTGGCTAAGTTTTCTTCTGGTCCACTTCCTAATTGTTCTCGTTAGGCAAACTCATTCATTCTCATGGCTCTAATGAACATTTTTATGCCAGTGACATTCAACTCTCCAGCCCAGGGTCTTCTCCTGCATTGCTAACCCATTTGTCCCACTGCCCACAGGCATCCTTCCTTTTCATGTTTCCCAAAATTGAACTGATTTTTCAATGCCAGGTCTACTCCTTTTTGTGTTTCCTTATCTCAGCTGATGTTCCATCTACCTTGTTGCTCAAATACGTGTGACTGTTAATTCCTTTCTTTTTCTTACCTATGTTTAATTAATTATGTAGTAATTGGAATATATAATGGAAAAATATTATGACCAAAGTAACTTATTTTTGTGTAAATGGTGACCAAATGCATTACTTAGATAGTTCACTTTTAATTATAGACCAAAGAAAACTTTTTAATGTGGCAAGAAGGACCTGTGGAATTGTATTGATAGTCCTAAACTTCTGTCTGTTTTGCCTAACACTTGAGAATATTTATATCCCTGATGTTATGAGTAAAGCTTGGTACTGGGTAAGATTGCTTATTTCTATGAGTTGATTTGACAATAAGACCCTTTGTGTTAACTCAGTAAATCTTAATGTAAGTTGGTCCATTTTAAATTATTGAGCCTCTTTTCTCTATCATAAATTCTATACCTCCACCTCACTGAACTTCTTGGACTTACTTTGATTCCTTGAGTGCACTCTAGCTTGTATCTTTCTCTTTCTGAGTCTTTTAATAAGCTGTTCCCTTACCTGAAATACTTTTCTCCTTATTCGCTCCTGCCTCTATTCTCATAAGCAACAAGTTACTCACTTTTTCTGTTAATCCCTATTTATCCTTTAATTTCTAGTTTAATATAATTTATTTAGAAAGGACTTTCTGACCTATGTCTATATACTGTAAGAACATCCTTTACTACTCTTTCAGTAGCATTGACCACATTTGTAATTACTTGTAAGACTTTAAATTCCATAGAGAGAATTCTATCCCATAGCTTACCACAGCTTATTACCTAATAGGTATAAAAATAAATGTTGAAAAAAAGGTGGCTATTTTGAAACATACATAATTGTTGACCTAAAATGGCTCATAGCAGCTGAATGGATTTCAGAAAGCCCTACATTATATTTACAGTACTATAAAAACATAAACAGGCCTAGAGAAAAAGTTTTAGAGCCCATCATTCTCTTTCCTTTTCTCTTATTGTTTCACATTATTTGAGAGAAAGTGTTTTTTTCTATCCAGTATGTAACCTCAGGAAAGTCACATAATCACATAATCATTTAAATTTCTCACTGTAAAATGAGAGTAGGAATTATACTTTTTTAAAAATAGTGGCTCTATGAATTGTTTACCTTTCTAAAGATCATTAAATGAATGTTATAAAATTCATTTAAATAGAACTAATTTTAAAGTTGAATGTTGACATTTTTCTAAAATATTTATTTTCTCTGTGACTTTTTTAATAAAAGTACACATAGAATGCATTTCAGCCATCAGTTTATAACAAAAACTACACCAGATTTTGTACAAGCTTCTGTCTGCTTTATAATTATTACTCCTCTTCTTATTTTGCCACAGTGTTCTAGAAGTATGCCAGCAAGTTTAATGATTTATATATGTGGGTTTTTTACTGTTAAAATGCTGAAGGACTTCCAAATATATTCCTGTTAATACACAATAAGTCTGGGAAGTGTATTAGAAGTGCAACTTGTTGTCATCAAACAATAACAACAATTTTTCTACCCTACAAAAGGCACGTTACTTCCATTGTAAAAATGTCTTAATGTATTATGAATTTCTTCCTGCATTACCAAACTTACTCTATCATCATCTATACCTTTATCTGATTACCTAAATGTATAGGATGGACATCAGTCAATACTCTTGGAAAAAGGCAATGTCTAGTAAGCTTTATGATTTTAGAAACAAGATAAAAGCCTTATGACTCAAAGAAAGCAATCAAATGCATTTTGTAGCCACAAGCATTGTATTTACTTAAAGGATTGTGACTATAAAAGCAAATCTCTCTTACTGGAAGTCGGGACAAAAGCTGTCAGAGAACAGGGTAGTAAATAGCTTTAAAATTGTTTTCTCTGCTTCATTTCAAAAGCTTGGGGCTACCAATGTTTGACCTTTTACAAATGGAATTGTTTCCTGCAGGTCTTGGTTTCCACTGAATGTTGATGGTGGTGTGGACTTGATGTAGTCATCAAGAATGGTAAATATGCTCATCACTGGTGCATTCTTCTGCGTCAAGAACATTTCTCATTCAGTGACATTTGCTGGTTCCCTCTAAGAAAAGGTAGAGTGATTCTATTTTCTCCCAAACATTTTCCCTGAGTGACTCTTGACCAAGCAGAGCAAGGAAAATTGTGTAATTGCCTAAATGACTCCATATAGCTCAGTGGTCAGAGGAAAATAAAGTCAGGTTGAACAAGAAGACATGTTATCGAGAACATTCGGATTCAACCTGTTATCATCTTTACCACTTGGTAATGCAGAATACAAAAATATATTTGAAGATTCTTGGGATCCACTGCATTTCTTAGATTCTTTTGGTAAATTGTATATTAATAATAGTCTCATTCTCTGTTATTAGGATATTGGCCTTATAGCTTTAAATATACACTGAAATATTAATGTATCGTATAGTAATATTAAAGAATAACATTGCTAACTTTTGAACGCTTATCATGTTAGGTAGACCTTGTTTTGTTTTTGACACACATCTGTGAGGCAGGGTTATTATTGCCTTATTTTTTTCTAGTTGAGAAAACTGTAGCTTACATAAAATACACAATTGTCCAGCCACACGAAATAGTAAAGAAAGTGGAGACCAGATTGGAGCCTGGATCATTCTGAATACAAATCTCAAGCCAGTAAGGATTGCAACTGTATAAACTGTGTGTGTAGGAATATCCTGAAAATAGAAGAGACATTCTTAAATTCTATCTGTTTTGAAATAGAAGATTAATTAGAAAAGAATTGTGTGAGCTGAGATCACACCACTGCAATCCAGCCTGGGTGACAGAGCGAGACTCTGTCTCTAAAAAAAAAAAAAGAAGAAAAAGAAAAGAATTGTTTTCACAAGTTAGGATCCCTCTGTTCAGAGCTTTAGGAAACTTTCAGAGGATAAAATACAACTTAACAAGTAGTAACAATGTGCTAAACCGCATGCTCAATGCTTTGAATCCATTATTTCATTCAACCTTCACAGCAACTGTACAAGAAAGATATGATTATAATCCCCAATTTATAGAATGGAAAACTGAAGATTAGGGAATATTTTTATTCTCTATTTCCCTCCAGATCTATCCTCTACACTTTTCTGCCTTGTTGCTCACATTGAGAGGCTAACCTCTAGGAACTTTTTTCCTGGGCTAATGGCTCTCTGTCTTATGGTTGGATTCAAATGGTTGTAAGAACTGAATGGTGATGGAGTGTGAGAGAAGATATAGGGATATTTATTCACTTTGCTGTGGTTCTGCTAGGGACTGCCTTCCGTTGTGACCATAGTTCAAATCAGTGGTCTCACTTCTATGTCTCCAGCTGTCTCTGTGATGTGGTAACACCTTTGCTTCTTCTTTTCTTTCAGGCCTAAGGTAAAAATGGCTTCCTGCTGTTGCTAGTTCGGACTCTTTATTACCCCTTGTTATTTCCTTAACTCTGAACAACCTTGAGTTCTCTTCAATCAGTCCTTTAATGTATGACAATTGTTCACTGTTGGACCTTGACTGACACAACAAAATTAAATAAATTTTCTTAAGGCAATGGGGTTGCCAGAACTCAATTAGGGCTCATTTAGGATTTGGCAGAGTTGGTATTCAACTCAGATTTGTTTGATGTTATACCCTTAACCACTCTATGGTCTCTGTGATTCTGCCTTACAAAATATTCAGGAGAAAAAAATCATTCCTGAATCCCCAATGGGATTTTCTTTAATTCCTCTTCAGGTTCTAACCATTATCCGGAAAAGGTGCCTCTGACATGGAAGGTGACTCTATCAACTTCTGTTGAGAGAATCTGACCACAGGCCATCAGAAGAAATTCAAATCGTAAACAACTAGCTAAGCAGAAGCTGTTGAGCAGGTAGACAATATTTCTTAAAGTTGAAAGGTAGCAATAGCACTCTAGCAGTTGTTAGTGTGATTATTGCCAAGAACCACTCATGCCTGTGTAACTAAAAATCCAGAGGGCTCTGTACAGTTACTGCTTGATCTCAGTCCTAGATACTGCCCTATTAACTAACTAAAAATGGCATCGCAAAATTTTAGTCAGTTTTTTATTCCTTCAAAAATTATGTATTGAATTTATACTATGGGCTAGGCATCGTGCTATGTACAAGGCCTGTAAAGATGAATAAGACAAGGTTTCTGCCCACAAAGAAATAAAAGAATAGATATGAAAACTCATGCTGCAGAAGTTCAACAAAGCGTTATGGTGGATGTGATTGGAGGTTGGATATGTTGCCATGGAAGGGTAAGAGTGAGTATTTCTTCACTGTCACTCTTTCTTGTAGCATTATCCATTGGGCCATCAGCCACATACTACACTGCCCCTAGTGCATAAAATTCATGGCACAAACACTAATAATGCCTTACTTTTCTATATGAATGGGGACTCATGGAGGAATCAGCACATGTAACGTGCTGAACTGCTTCTAAACAGCCTCTCAATATTTTCACATTCTTGTATCTCTATAGATTTTTGTCATAATAAATATACAAATTATGCTGTTTTTTAAATCTCTAAAACCACGCAGCAATTGTTTAGACTATATTTAAAAAAATAAATGCCTAATCTGAAGTATAAACAAAAGATTGACATCTTGACTCTTGCTCCACTTAACTAAACATGTATCTGAATACCATTGCTTAAAGCATTTAAAGAAATTTATTGATACATAACATTTGTACATATTTATTAAGTGCACGTGTTATTTTGTTACATGAATAGAATGTATAATGACCAAGTCAGGGGTGTCCATCATCTTGAGTATTTATTATTTCTTTGTGTTGGAAACAGTTCAGATCTTCTCTTCTAGCTACTTTGAAATATGCGTTGTTGTTAACTATGGTCACAAACACTAAAACTTATTGCTTCTACCTAACTGCATGTTTGTACCCATTAACCAGACTCTCTTGATCACTACTCCACACCATTACCCTTGCCAGCCTCTGATATTTATCATTCCACTCTCAACCACTACGAGATCAATTTTTTAGCTCCCACAAATAATAACAGATTATTTTTTTTTCTTTTTGTGCCTGGCTTATTTCACTTAACATAAAGACCTCCAGTTCTATTCATGTTGCTGCAAATGACATTATTTCATTCTTTTTCATAGCCCAATGTAGTATTCCATGTATGTATATATATACCACATTTTCTTTATTCATCCACTGATGGCCACTTAGGTTGATTACAAATCTCTACTATTGTGAATAGTGCTGCAATAAACATGTGAGTGCAGGCATCCCTTTGATCTACTAATTTATTTTGCATTGGATAAATACCCAGTAGTGGGATTACTAGATCGTATAGCAGTTCTATTTTTAGTATTTTGAGAAATCAATCTACTGTTTTCTAACATGGCTGTTTTATTATTTCTAACATATTTATCAGGGATATTGATCTGTAGTTTTCTTTTTTGGGTGCATCCTTGTATAGATTGGGTATCAGAGTAATGCTGGCCTTGTGGAATGGTTAGAGAGAATTCTCTCCTCTTCAATTTTCCAGAACAGTTTGAAGAGAACTAGTTTAGTTTTTACTTAAAAGCTTGGTTGAATTGGCAGTGAAGCTATCTGGTCCTGGATTTTTTCTGTGGGAGAAGATATTTTACTCCTTATTCAAATATATTACTCAGTATTGGTCTGTTCAGGTTTTCTGTTTCTTCCTGATTCAATTTTGGGAGGTTGTATGTGTCCAAGAGTTTATCTATTTCCTTTGTTTTCCAGTTTGTCACTATATGTTGTTTATAGTTTCTGATGATCTTTTGTATTCCTGTGGTATTAGTTGTACTGTCTTCTTTTTCATTTCATTTCTAATTTTATTTTGGTATTCTTTCTTTTTTCTTGGTTATTCTAGCTAGCAGTTTATCAATGTTGTTTAATTAAAGAGAAAATTTTTCATTTTTTTAATCTTTTGCATGATTTTTCAGTCTCTGTTTTGTTCTGCTTTAATTTTTATTTATTTTTTTCTTTACATCTACTAATTTTCTGTTTGGATTGAGCTTGCTTTTCAAGTTCCTTGAGGTACATTATCAGATTGTTGAAATCTTTCAACTTTTTTGATGCAAGCATTTATGTGATAAACTTCTCTGTTAGAACTACTTTTGCTGTATCCCATAGGTTTTTTTATGTTGTGTTTTGATTTTTGTTCCAATAATTGTTTTTTAATTTTCTTTTTAATTTTTTCATTGACCCAGTAATCATTCAGAGGCATGTTGTTTAATTTTCATGTATTTATACAGTTTCCCAGGTTTCTCTTCTTGTTGATTTCTAGTTTTATTCCATGGTGATTTGAGAAGATACTTGATATGATTTGGATTTTTTAAAATTTTTTAAGACTTGTTTTGTGTCATTATATAGGATCTGTCCTGGAGAATGCTCCATATGCTGATGAGAAAAATGTATACTCTGTACCTGTTGTATGAAGTGGTCTATAAATATCTGTTAGGTTCATTTAGTCTGATATATCATTTAAATTTAATGTTTCTTTGTTATTTCTGTCTACATGATCTGTCTAATGTTGAGAGTAGGGTGCTGAAGTCCCCAACTATTATTGTATTGAAGTGTATCTCTTCCTTTAGATTTAATAATATTTACTTTGCATATCTGTGTGCTCCAGTGTTAGGTGCATATGTTGCAAATTGTTATATTCTCTTGCTGTATTGATCACTTTATCATTATATAATGACTTTCTTTCTCTCTTTTTACTGTTTTTGACTTAAAATCTGTTTTATCTGATATAAGCAAAGGCACTCCCACTCACTTTTCGTTTGCATTTGCATGGAATATCTTTTTCCATACCTTTACTTTCAGTCTATATATGTATTTACAGGTAGGATGAGTTTCTTGTAGGCAGCATATAGATGGGTCAAATGGTTTTTTTTTTTTCCCAAAAAGATCTATTTGGCCAGTCTATATCTTTTAAGTGGAAAGTTTAATTCATTTATATTCAAGGTTATTGTTTACATGTGAGCCCTTGTTTCTCTCATTTTATTAATTGATTTATGGTTGTTGTGAATATCCTCTTTTTTTCTTTCTCTCTTATTGTTTATTATTGTTATTTGGTGATTTTCTATAGCAATAACATTTGAGTTTGAATCCTTTCTCTTCCTTGTTTGCGTGTTTGCTCTACCAGTTGGTATTATACTTTTATATGTTTTCATGATGGTATTAGGTTGCTGCAAAAGTAATTACAGTTTTTGCCATTAGCCATAAAGGCATAAACAGAAATTATTTTTGCACCAACCTAATAGATATTGCCCTTTTGCTCCTAGGCATAGGACTACCTTAAGCAGTTCTTGTAGGACTGGTCTAGTGGTAATGAATTCCCTCATCTGTTTTTGACTGCAAAAGACTTTATTTCTCCTTCATTTATGAAGAATAACTTTGCTGGGTATAGCATTCTTGGTTGCCAGTTTCTTTTCTTGCTGCAATTCAAATACATCATCCCATCGTCTTCTCACTTGTAAGATTTCTGCTGAGAAATGTAGTGCAATGTGGATTCACCTATAAATGACTAGACAATTTTCTCTTGTAGTTTTTAGATTTATCTTTTTGTCTTTGGATTTATAGTCAATTTGAGTATTATATTTGTGGATAAGACCTTTTTGAGTTGTATCTTTTGAGGTTATCTTAGCCTTTTTATCTGAATGTCTAAGTTTCTTGCTAGACTTGGGAAATTTTCAGCTATTATTTCATTAGACAAGTTTTCTATCCTTTTGGTCATCGCTTTACTGTCTGTAACATCAAAATTTTGAATATTTGGTTTTCTTATCAGGTCCTACATATCATCTAGGCTTTATTCATTCCTTGTTATTCTTTCTTCTTTGCTCTTGTCTGACTAGGTTATTTCAAAAGACCTGTCTTAAATTTCTGAATCTTTTTCTTCTACTTGATCTAATCTATTGTTGAAGCATGAATGTATTTTTCAAAAGTCCTCAGACTTCAGGCCCCAGGGGAAGGGCAAGGCAATCCACAGACCCTTGGCAAAGATCTCAAGTTGGGGTGGCTAGGGCTGTGCTACAACCCTGATACTAGGAAGAGTGGGGTTGTTTTCAGTGATAGTATGCATATACAAGCAGCTGGGGACTGCTCACTGTTTGGCCACAGTGATGGCTGTAAGAGGGGAATATCAATGGGGCTCTAGGGATGTGGAAATACAAAGGCTGTTGGTCCCTGGGAAATATGCATTTTGGTTGGGGTTGGGGTTGGGCTCTCAATATGGGGCCCAGTTGTAGCTTGGCAGAACCTGGGGGGTGGGATATGGGACCCAGTGTCAGCTTCTTCTCTGAAGCAATGCCTTCACTAGGTCTCCAGCCAGGCTCCCTATGTTAGTCTTAGAGTCCTTGAGGGTCTAGGGGCTCTCCCATGTCTAGGACTGCTGGGGTTCATGGTGGGAATGTGGACTGCTGGAGATTTCTCACTTACCCTATTCCTGTACTGGGAGCCTCTCTAGACTCCCAGCCTATCCCAGCTAAGCAGGCTGCCTTACTTTACTTTCTGTCTTTGCTTAAGTGTTTCCTGTCACATCTATGTTGAATTTCAGACTTCTCTCTTAGATGATATACTTGAAGTGTGATTATGTACTCATTCTTTTGATGTTTATTTGTGGAGGAATCAATTACCAGTTGCCTCTAGTCAGCCTCTTTGATGGTTCTCATTTAAACACCATTGCTTAAAACATTTTAATTTCACTTAAAGATGTAATTTTCCATTTGGAAGCAGAGGGACTGGCTTTGACTTATCAGTCATATAAACATGAAAAGTATTTTACTATCATGATGATTTTCTTTTAAAAACAACATTTGTTGCTTTGACTTTCCATCTTCCATTCATTTCCTGTTTTTACTTTCTTCCCCACCTTCCTATAATGGCCCATCTTCTTTTTAATGCCCCTCTGCTCTTCTCAAGTCATCTCTTCCCTTCTTGTCTTCCTTCCCCTTTACTTCCTCACCCAGTCAATTATCATACATAGGGTTATTTCAGATGAGATTCAACAATGGATGTTAATGCTGGTGTATATAAGTTTGATGAGTTATCATAGAATACCTCTCACAAAATACTAATCAATTGAAAGGAAATAAAAATAGTGAAAATATGATGGAAAACCTGTCAGACACCAATGGCATACATTGACATAACAAGATGAACAAGATTACACTCCAGTGACTGAATAATAATGTGTGGCATATGGTGCACTGAGAAGTACACAGCATTATTTTAGAGGTTTTATTGCTGAGATTTTATGAGAAACTTTTTCTAAAGAAATCTGAAGACAAATGCTAATAAATGTAAACAAGTACTCCTGGATCAGAACATTGTTGATGCAGTTGATTCAACTGTCAAGATTACTGTTTGGAATTACTGATAATATAGATATAGAAATATATTTTATGAAATTAATAATCTTTATATAAAAAACTTACTAGTCTAGAAGTTCTCTGACATTCTGTAGGATCAGGAAAAGAATGGAATTGTGTCTATTTCAGTAATAGTACATTTTTTCTGCATGTAATAAATAATTCAACTAATATTGCATTAAAATAGTTTTTTTCTAACACAAGTAGTCTCAAATTGCATATTTGCTGGGATCAGTTCAACTGAGTAATAAATATCATCAAGATTACAAGTCCTTTTCCTCCTTGACATTTTGGATTTTAGTTCTTATACTTTTCTTTTTGCTTACAAGACAGCTAACACGGATATAGAGCCATCATTATTATGAAAACTAACAAACAAAAAAATCTTCACGTTCTTCAGAATTCTACATCACTTTATGTTATTGCTAAAACTAAGCTGCATAGCCATTCATAATAGCAAAGAGACTGGGCAAGTGAGCCTGTTTAACTCCTACGGAGTAAGATGAGAAAAGTGGAAAAAAAGTGAAGCAGTTTACAAGTATTATTTCATTTAATTCTCACAAAATTTTTGTCAGCTAGTTAACATTATTATATTAAATTTATAGAAGAGGCACAGAGAAGTACCTTTAGTAAGACTATAACTGTTTCAGGTCAATTTCCCCACATATTTTTATTTTTATGCCTTCTTTTATTAAACAAATAATATTACAGGAGAATTCTTCTATTCTTTTAACAAATAAATACTAAAAAGTACTGTATGCTTGATAAAAATAAAATAGCCTTACTCAGGCCTTATTAGGTTCCTGTTCTATTGCTTAACTGGTATAGGAGTCTCAATTTGAGTGGCTCTCTTGTGCTTAAGAGTACTGCAAGGATTATTCAGTTCTGTGTAGCCGTTTCCCCACCTGGCCATCCCTGATTAATCTGACATAGATCAATCGGCTTCCCTCTCCCAGGAATTTGAAACTTAGAAACATATAAATACTGAAAATCTCTGAGTAATGTTAAAAGTCACGTTCTAGAAAATAAAATGCCACAAACTCATGCAGCTTAGTTCCCTGTAGATGCACCCAAAACTTGCTTTCCAAAATTTTATGGTTTCGATCTTTATTGGGGACAGGTGAAATTTGCTTTAACATCCTTTCAAAAATGTTTTATTATGCAAAAGAAGCTAGTTAATTTCTGGTGCTTGTTATTTTGGAACTTGAAGCCACAATGTCTTGTTTGCTATTTTGCATGCTAGAATCTGGACTTTAAAAACTATTTTGATTCCTCTTTTACATTATTGAGGCAACTATTTTACTTAGAAATGAATAAAATCAAAGAATCTCTTAAATACAAGGAAGGAAAATAAGCTATGTAGTTTTCCAAAAACTCTGTTGAACATACATAAGCTACAAACGCTATTAATATACACACCAATTTCCATATGTTTCTGTTGTGAAATATCAGTCCCTATTGATAGGAGGTCTTTCTAGTTTACGAACCTCAAATAGAAATTTCTCAGTCCTGATTTTAGTTCTTTTTTGTTGTCCTTATCAAATATCAACCTTCTGTGCTTTTCTGGGTACTATGGCAATTTACATTTTCTCATTTGCTTCTAGGATCTGAGTAGACAGGTCAACTGCCAAGAAAAACACAGAGCTTAGTTGTCTGTTATTATTATAAGTGAAGAATTTAAAACATCTTAGAGTTATAGTTTAAGTTATCATTTTTATAGTTTCAACAATTTATGTTTCTACTGTCAGTGAAAACATGTAGACATTTTAAAAAATAAGAGTTTTATATTCATGTATTTAATGTTTACTGTTTACCTTTAAATTCATCTACTATAGCATACCAAAAGAAATTTCTATCTGCTCTGTCTCCAGTGGATGTGATAGTACAGAACTCTCTGCTTTCAATGAAGAAAAACTAGGTTCTGAGCTAATTGCTTATTAAAATGTTTACCTGCAGTTATTTTACCACATAAATGAAAGACCAAATAGATTCCTCTAGCAGTTGCCTTGAGTCAAATCAGCCCCTTGTCCCCTTTTTAAAAATTATCTTTATAATGCTTTAATTCTAACTTTATGTGTGACTTACACCAACAAATTAAACAAAAGAAAGTACTTTTTCAAGAGGGTAATAGAAGTCATCCTCTGTAATTCAAAACTCTTCCCTTCACCCCAGCTTTTCTTAGTCTTGAAATCAAAGAAGGGGCATGGTCTAGTGCCCTCTGCCTTACATTTGACTTTCTGTCTTCCTGGTACTTGCCTTGTAGGATAGAGTCCATGAGAAGGAAGAGGAGAAAGCATCCCCTGCATGACTTCCTCTGGTGAGACTGCCACCTTCTTTCTGTAACTTCACTACTGCTCCAGCTTATGGTCTATGATTTATTGTGCATTTTTAAAGTTATACAAGTCTTGCTGATGAGGGACTCCACCTCAAGCAGATTCCCTAGGCATGGAGTATTCTTTGGAGTTGCTAGTATCCTCTGAGGGCAACCTCAAACTTCTTTCCTTGATTTGTGCCAAAATTTTCTTTTCTTAGCTTCAAGGAGGGGGAACCAATCAAGTACTAGTTCTCTTTACCTTCAACAATCATCCCTTTCTGCACTTCTCACCTTCATTCATTTATCTCTTAAAGGAAATAGACAAATATTTCAGCTCCTCTTACTACTGCTAAGAGCATGATAATTTTACAGCAAGAAGTGTGCCATTTTGAAATTGTCCCTGAAGAATATATAAAGTTTTTCTTATGGGGATCTATTTCTGTAGTAATCCCTGAAGGCAGTTATAATATTTTAGGGCAGAAAACTATCTCAATCATTATTTCTCACCATGCTACTACATAAAGCAAGAGAATTGTAAGAGCTTGCACAGGAACACTGGGAGTGGAGGAACATCATTTCATGAACCTTTATTTGTGGATAATTTTTATGAGAGGTTTCATATGGGAGACAGTAACTCCTTAGCATAGTCTTAAAGGGTAAATAGGCATTATAGGGCAGTGAAGGAGAAAGGCAGAGATGTCAGAATGAGCAAATGAAAGGAATGAGAATTGACATGGGCTATGTAAGGAAATTCAAGCACAGAAAATATCAGTGTTTTCCAAACAACAGGACCTGACCCATGTTTGAAAGCTCATGTATATCTTGTGAGGCAAGTAGAGCAAGGGGTATTATAAACAGGTCAGAGAATTCCTCTAAGTTATTCAGAAGAGCTTCATTTTTATCTTGTCCAGATGCTTATCATGAAGAAATTTTAGAATCAAGTAAAGTAGTCTTTCCTTGAAAGTCGTCAAGAATACAAACTTGGGTCAGCCAATATTTTACTTAAAATATTAAATCAAACATATGTAAAGATTAAGTCACTAGATACTGATAATTTTTGACTCCTAGATAAAAGCCTACATCCTCAAATTTTTCAAATATTCTTTATAGGTTCATTGTTGTACTCGGTCTATACATCACTTAACCACAAAACTAAACTTTCTATAAAGAAAATTTCAATCACCTATAGAGATGCCTTGGGATGTTTTCAACGTGTAAAGTGAGGATTCCAAAATCAGTAAGCATCAAAGCCAGAAATTTCATGATGAAATTAAATCGGGGAATAAAAGCTAGCCACTAGTATCACAAGAGAGCACCCTTGATGCTACTAAATAAATGTTGTTCTCTTAAAAAGAAATAATTATCATAACTTCAGAGTCTGGAAATGCCTATAGTTTCTTTTTTTTAATGTAATCCCAAAATGTTATTTTACCTGTTTTGTATTATAGCATACCTTTTTTGTTAGATCCAATATCTGAAAATTCTGTGCCATGGCAGTTAAACAGAAAGAAAATGAAGACAGGACTACACGAAAGCATAATCAATTCCAGAAAATCTTCAAAGTTTTCAAAATCAATAAAATTAAAAATAGCCAAACTGTTAGGTGAAGCAAGACTGACATGCCCTATAATTTTCTGCATTAGTCATAAATTTAAGGTCATTATTACTCTCTTTGAAATTAGCCAGAATATAAATTGTAAATTTTCAAACATACTTAGACCTAGAAAGTAGGAAGCTTTGAATTTATTTTTTATTCCACTTTTCAAATTGATGGTGCATTTAGCCAATGACCATGTGATGGTTAACTGTCATGTTGACCATGTGATGGTTAACTGTCATGTTAACCATGTTAATGACCATATGATGGTTATGTGTCAGCTTTACTGGGTCATAAGTTGCCCAGTAATGTTATTCTGTGTCTGAAATAGCGTTTTGGGATGAGAGTAACATTTTTATTGGTAGGCTGAGTAAAAGACATTGTGCTCCCTAATATGGATGGTTTTCATTTTATCAATTCAAGTCTTGAACGGAACAAAAAGGCTGCCCCTTCCACAAATAAAAGGCAATTCCTCCTGCCTGACTGCATGAACTGGGGCATTACTTTTTTTCCTGACTTTGGACTGAAACTGAAACATTGATTTTTCTTGAGTCTTGAGCCTGCAGCTTTTGTATTGGAATCTCTGCCATTGGATCTCCTTGTCCACAGGCTTTTGGCCCCAAACCAGAGCTGCAATATGATTTCTTGCTGATAGCAGATTCTCAGCCTCAATAATCATGTCAGCCAGTTTCTTATAATATATATGTCTTTTTCATTCTCTTTCTCTTTTGCTCTTTCTGTCCATATATATAGTTGTCTCTTGGTATACATAGGCTATTAGTTCCAGGACCCCCACATACAACAAAATTCACAAATACTCAAGTCTACCAGTTGACCCCTCACACCTGTGCATACAAAAAGTTTGTCCTCTGTATAGGTGGGTTTAGCATCCTGCCAATACTGTATTTTTGACTTCTAGTTGAAAAAAACTTGCATATAAGTAGATCTTCACAGTTCAAAAGTTGTGTGTTTCAAGGATCGGCAGTACACACACACACACACACACACACACACACACACACAAATATAATCTTGTTGCTTCTGTTTCTCTAAATAACCCTGACAATTCCTCACTCCCTAGACCACCTGATAGAAAAGATGAGAGAAATCATAGCACTGCCCACTTGGCATTGAAAAATCTATTGCTAAATAAAATTAAGAAAACACAACATGACTATGTATTTCTATCCTTCAATATTTGAACTTAAGATTAGTAACAACTCATAAAAAAACTAACATTTTTTCACAGGTCTTTACAAGAATTTCTAAAGCCTTTGGAAACTTATAAATCACAGTACCCTTTGTTTAAAGTGTATTATCATAGGCAAATATATTTAACAGAGAACAGAACAAGTTAACAATAGTTATGAATATTCACATACATATCAATTTTACACAGAATAAAATGGATATTCTTGAGAAAGCTCTCATTTTAACTCCCTACCATATGAGATTATTTAAATAAGTTTTATGATGCAAAATGGTATCTCTCACCCAAACCTGCAGGGAAAGAATACATCTTCTTCATTTATTTCCTAGGCTTCTTTTATTAGTTATGCAAACCTGAATTTTTAAGGGAAGAATCTGGAATTTCATTATTTAGCACATTAAGAAAGAAGGTCTTATAGAGCTCAGTT
This sequence comes from Homo sapiens, assembly GCF_000001405.40. Classification (NCBI taxonomy): domain Eukaryota; kingdom Metazoa; phylum Chordata; class Mammalia; order Primates; family Hominidae; genus Homo; species Homo sapiens. The sequence continues at coordinate 62,734,574 of NC_000006.12, forward strand.
TTATTGGGGCAATGGAGAAAAGATTGAATAGGAGTTAAAGCATTTTATGAGTTCACTTAATAAAGAGCCTTTGGCAATTTTCTTTCATAAGAACCAATATAAATATTCAGACAATTGACAAAAACAAAGTTCCTAAAAGAAGGAGAATGCATTATAAAACAATCCAAACAGCACTTTCTATGAAACTTAAGAGTACACTGTATTAATATATGATGATTAGGTTTTCACAAAAATAACTTAGGGGAAAAAAAGAGTTACTGGGGATGTAAAATGTAATTATTAAACTAATTACCTCAATGCAGGCAGTAAACACCCAATTGAATAAGGCAAAGAGCTAGATTCTAAATTAAAAGTCAAAAAAAGGAATTTTCCCAGGCAAAAAAAAAAAAATTAAATGATACACTGAAAAGATACATGAAATAGACACAGAAATACATATAGAGAGCAAATATAAGCCATCCAATCTGTAAAGAAGAGCATTACCAAAAGAAAAAAAATACCTGTCAGAGAAAGTAGTCATCAAAAAAATAGTGATATAGATTTGAATTTGGGAATAAAAGAAAACATCTTTAGTTTTCATACTGGAAATTGTTCTGGTATTTTGTTGTTACTAACAAATCACCTTAAAACTTAATTGTATAGAACAGAAATCATTTTGTTAGGCTCACAATTTTGTGTGTTTAGAATTCAGTCAGAGTCAGTTCATTTTTGCCCATGATGATGGGATTCTCAGCTATGGCAATTTATATGATTAATTGTGGTTTTAGAGGCTTGACTGGGGCCATATGGCTGAGATCTTAAATCTCAATGTTGTAAGGGTTCCTCTCTTCTTCACAGTGCATCTCTTGGGGCTGGCATGTACAAAGTGGCTTCTTCTTCACATGTTAGGTGTTGGGCTGGGTGTTTGGAATAGGTGGGTGGATTGTTCCAGCAATTGTCTCTTTCCACTTGACATTTCCTTGTGACTAACTCAGCTTCCTCACAGCATGGTTGTCTGAGAGTAGTTGGACTTTTACTTGCAGCTTGGCCTTACCCAAAATGAATTTTATAAGAGGCCTGGATGGAAGCAGCAAAGCTTCTTAAGACCTAGCCTCAGAAGTTTTATACATCACTTCTGCATATTCTATTTTTCAAAGAAGTTATAGGCCAGAATAGATTCAAAGATAATTAGACAATTCTTAATGGAAAGAATACCAAATATTACGTACCTATCTTATCATAGAAACTTTGATTCTTTCACAGCAAAGTTAAATGTATTCTAAAAACAAATCTGAATTTGAAAGATAAAGAGATGACTATCTAGTAAGAAACAGAAATCTAAACATTCAAGAAAAAGAAAAAAAAAAAGGTAATTCTTGCTTCAGGCTTCTCTTCCATAATATAAAATGATAAAATGTAATTAGGCATGATAGCAGAATTTGAAGAAACAATATCAAAAAGCAAATTTCCTATATGCAGCCAAATTATTTTTAAATGTAAAATCGGAAGAATGACATTTTTCTATACTTAAAGATTTACAAAAAATATCAACAACATAACTTTTCTGAAAATCATGATCAATGAAACCCTTATTATATTAGTTAGTTTGCGCAACTATTACATGAAATACCATAGACTAGGAGGCTTAAACAACACGCATTTATTTCTCACAGTTTTGAAGACATAGAAGTTCAAGATAAAGATATATCAGCAGATCTGGGGGCTGCTGAGGGCTCTCTTCCCAGATTGCTATCTTCTTGCTATATCCTCATACGGCAGAGAGCAGAGAAAAAAAAAGAGGGAAAGCAAACTCTGTGTCTCTTCCATAACGGCACTAATCCCATTCATGAAAACTCCAACCTCACGACCCAAATACATCCAAAGGACCCACATCTTAAAACCATCTCATTTGAGTTAGAATTTCAACATATGAATTCAGGGGAGACATATTCAGTCCATAGCACAACTTCAAAGTTAAAATTAAGTAATTATTAATGTGGATATGAGAATTAATATAAATGTCAAATAAATAGCATTAAAAATTGATCATATTGAAAATAGTATCACTCTGGATTTAAAATATTATATTATTTCAACAAAGTGTGGGAAGTAGAGGAGGAAAAAGCAAGATAACTAGAAAATTATGTTATCAAGACATTATTTCAATATCTATACGTTATTTCGTTTTTAATCTTAATGGTATCAAGATTCAATTTACTCCAGTTTCCTTTATATTTGAAGTAACAACTATTAAAACAAAAATATAAATCAATTCCAAAAGAATAGCAAAATGAGACCAGAAACAACCTGAATAATGTTTCAAAAAATTATAAAACATGATAGGTATAGAAGTAAACATACAGAAATTATAAAACCTTATAGCTAAAATAAATAAACCAAAACTTTTGGTTATTTTGATAGATAATAGTAGATTAAATTGCCCTAACTGCCAGTTATAAATTATTTATATTAGGGACACTTTAAACAAAAGGACCTATAAAAATCCAAAAATAAATACTAAAATTCAATTTAAAAGAAGGCAGGATAGTGATAATATCAGAAGAACAGAAATAAAAAAATTTACAAGAAACAAAACCAATAAATTAAATTGATGACAGATAAAAACAAAAGCATGAAATCAGAAATTTTTCATTGCAAAATATGCAGAATAGAAAATCTTAGAAACTAAAAAAATTCATATATAATTATTGGAGTTGATTTTAACATGGACTTTTGAGAATAGTTTCAAGTATAATAAAGATGAAAACATACAAATTATTGAAATAATATAATTCATGAAGGTTCAATGAGTAACTCTTCTTAAAAATGTAAGCCTATGTATTACATACTTGATATATATTTAAATATATTGAAAATTTTAGATCCACTTTCAAATAAACCCTTTAATATAATCCCTCAAAGAGAAATTTAAAAATCAAGCCCTTTAACAAAAATCAAATAAATATGAATAATAAAAAACAGCCAAATAAATTACAATTATATGGAAATTTTAAAAGCCATTGAAATTGGAAGATCCTAATTGGTGATTTCCAGTGATTGATGGGTAATCTGACATTACTTGTAAAGCATGAAGTGATTGTGTGTTTACTTTGAAGAGTGTCAGTGGCTTTCACAAGTTTAGTGACAATGATTTCTATATATATAAAAGTTTTCCTCCTTTAAATAACTGTTATTTCAAAAAGGAGAATAAAATTGTTTACATAAACTATTTTAAAATTAACAAAGACTTACATATCAGAACTTATAAAATGTGGCCAAAGCTATATATCTGGTAATTTACAGCAATAAATGTTTATATTTATGAAATCAAAAACCTAGTTTTATATATCTATGCGAGTTGGTGGCAGAATATGTTGATTTTCAAATAAAAGTAGGCAGAAGTTGTTAAAAGTTGCCAATAATAAATTGCTTACATAAACTATTTTAAAATTAACAAAAAGCTTACATACCAGAATTCATAAAATGTGATCAAAGCTATATTCCTGATAATTTACAGTAATAAATGTTTATATTTATGAAATCAAAAGATCAATTGAATATATTTTTGTGAGTTGGTGGCAGAATATGTTGATTTTCAAAAAAACGTAGGCAGAGTTGTTATAAGTTGCTAATAATAGCAGCTATTTACTAAATCAGATACAAAAAGTCAGCAAAATTAACCAATAAAAACATGAATTTTTTTATTATACTTTAAGTTCTGGGGTACACATACAGAATGTGTAGGTTTGTTACATAGGTATACATGTACCATGGTGGTTTGCTGCACCCATCAACCTGTCATCTACATTAGCTATTCCTCTTAATGCTATCCCTAACCCCACCCCTCCACCTCCCGACAGGCCCCAATGTGTGATGATCCCCACCCTGTGTCCATGTGTTCTCATTGTTCAACTCCCACTTACGAGTGAGATCATGTGGTGTTTGGTTTTCTGTTCTTGTGTTAGTTTGCTGAGAACGGTGGTTTCCAGCTTCATCCATGGCCCTGCAAAGGACATGAACTCATCCTTTTTCATGGCTGCATAGTTTTTCATGGTGTATATGTGCCACATTTTCTTTATCCAGTCTATCATTGATGGGCATTTGGTTTGGTTGCAAGTCTGCTATTGTGAAGAGTGCCACAATAAACATACGTGTGCATGTGTCTTTATAGTAGAATGATTTATAATCCTTTGGGTATATACCCAGTAATGGGATTGCTGGGTCAAATGGTATTTCTAGTTCCAGATCCTTGAGGAATCACCACACTGTCTTCCACAATGGTTGAACTAATTTACACTAATTACACTAATTTACACTCCCAGTGTAAAAGTGTTCCTATTTCTCCACATCCTCTCCAGCATCTGTTGTTTCCTGACTTTTTAATGATTACCATTCTACCTGGCATGAGATGGTATCTCATTGTGGTTTTGATTTGCATTTCTCTAATGACCAGTGATGATGAGCACTTTTTCATGTTTGTTGTCTGCATAAATGTCTTTTTTTGAGATGTGTCTGTTCATATGCTTTGCCCGCTCTTGGATGGGGTTGTTTACTTTTTTCTTGTAAATTTGTTTAAGTTCTTTGTAGATTCTGGATATTAGCCCTTTGTTAGATGAATAGATGGCAAAAATTTTCTCCCATTCTGTGGGTTGCCTGTTCACTCTGATGATAGTTTCTTTTGCTGTGCAGAAGCTCTTTAGTTTAGTTAGATTCCATTTGTCAATTTTGGCTTTTGTTGCCATTGCTTTTGGTGTTTTAGTCATGAAGTCTTTTGCCATGTTTATATCCTGAATGGTATTGCCCAGGTTTTCTTCCAGGGCTTTTATGGTTTTAGGTCTTATGTTTAAGTCTTTAATCCATCTTGAGTTAATTTTTGTATAAGATGTAAGGAAGGGATCCGGTTTCAGCTTTCTGCATATGGCAGAAACCCAACACCATTTATTAAATAGGGAATCCTTTCCCCATTGCTTGTTTTTGTCAGGTTTGTGAAAGATCAGATGGTCGTAGATGTGTGGTGTTGTTTCTAAGGCCTCCGTTCTGTTCCATTGGCCTATATATCTGTTTTGGTAACAGTAATATGCAGAAACATGAATTTTTTTAAAAAATCCTAATAAATCTGTGACAATTCTAAACGAGGGGGAATAATGGGCAATAGGAAAAACATGCATAACATAAGATATAATTAAGAAATTTTAACTACTTATTCAAAAAGATTTTTTGTGAGGGAGCCAAGATGCCTGAATAGATGCAGCTGGAAGGAACATGTCTCACTGAGAGCCGGGGACACTGGGGAGCCTGGCACACTCTGAGGAGACCTTCAGAGGGAAGGCATTGAAAGTAGATGGAGGGAGGACACAGACACTGGGCTGAAGTGGGAGAAAGATGGGAACCCTGCACTGGGCTGCTGAGCACTGCAACTCATTCCTGGTGCCCAGTGGCTCCTAGGAAAGGGGTGAGGTGAACAGGTGAGGAGTAGCCCATTCTTGCCATGGACTTCCAGAATCCTAGCTGCAGGAGACTCCTGGATCCTCATGGGTACTTGAGCTGGTAGGGAGAGCTGCTTCAAGAGGTGGTAAGGGCAGGAGTCCAGCTTCTGCAGAAACCAGAGTGTTTGATGTGGGTATGGCTGCAGTGGAGCACAGACAGGGATGCCTACTCCCCAAGGCTCACTGTACCCCTCTAGGTGGCTTTAGCCTTCGGGTGAATGTCAGACCTGAACAGAAAAGGGTGGTCTGGCCCAATGGATGGGGCCAGTCTAATCTGAGCACTCCTCTGTCTGGGGCCCCAGCCTGGCCATGCCTGCTTTCAGCACAGCCTCAGATGCCCAACTGGGGAGCTTCCTGGGAGCTATCATCAAACCTCCTTTGCCAGAAGACCATACATAATATCATGGGGGAGCACCAACAGATTGACCCCTGCCAACGTGGACCCACCCACCTGCATCTTCCCCCCTGCTGCTTTGCCAACATGCATTTGCCCATAGCCTCCTCCAAATGCTTTGAGCATGAGAGGACCTTGTCTCCTCTGCCCTGCTGGTGCTTGTGTGCACACACAGCCCATTGTCCCATTATTGCTGGGGTGAGTGCACCCTGCTGCCCTGCCCCTTGCCAGCATCGCCCCCCCCCCACCCCCGGCTTATGCTGGGGCAGCACTGCACTGCCACTGCTAGTACAAATGTGTGCACAGATGCTGGCACCCTGCTCCCACGGGCGCCCCGCCCCTGCTGTGCCACTGCCTCTGTCTGAGAGAGTGTGTGCACAGATGCCTGCACCTTGCCCCTACCAGCACCCTACCTCCACTGAGCCTCTGCAGTTGCCATCAGAAGTGCCAGCATGCATATGGACTCCACCATCCTACTTCTACCAGCTCCCCACCCCAGATGACATACAGGCACCACACCATGCCACCATTAATACTGGCATGCATGAGCAAGTACAGATCCTGCTGCCATAGCCCCAAGGAAGCACTTTGGCCAGAACTCCCCTTCAGAGTGTTGTGGACAGCAGACCAGGAACACATCTGCCCCTTTAGCACAGGAGGTTGCTAACCTCGAGAGCTCAAAGAACAAAGTTAGAAAACTGGAACCAGCACCCCAGAATTAAAACATGCAGGCTAGGATTGCGAAGCTGAATCTTGACCCCATGAAATCTTCCAGAAAGGAAACTAGCTGACTGAATTCACCATATAACACAATCAAACTCTAGATGGCATCAGAAGATGAGAGAAAAATAAAAAGCATCCAAAGGACAGCAACTTCAATGATTAAAGGATCATCTACCTGCACAGATAAGAATGAACCAGCATAAGAACTCTGGCAACTCAAAAAGCCAGAGTGTCCTCCTATCTCCAAAAGACCACAGTAATTTCCCAGCAATGGTTCTTAACTAGCCTGAAATGGTTGAAATCACAGAAATAGAACTCAGAATATGCATAAGAATGACGATCATTGAGATTCAAGAGAGAGTTGAAACCCAATCAAAGGAATCTAAAGAATACAACAAAATATACAGGAGCTAAAGGAAGAAATAGGCATTTTAAGAAAAATTCAAACTGAACTGATACAGCTGCAGTTCTCGCTACAAGAATTTTATAATACAATTGCAAGTATTAACAGTAAAATGGACCAAACTGAGGAATGACTCTCAGAGCTCAAACTATTTCTCCAAATTAACTCAGTCAGACAAAAAGAAAAACAACAAGAATTAAAAAGAATGAACAAAACCTCTGGGAGAAACAGGATTATGTAAAGAGACCAAATCTATGACTCATTGGAACCCCTGAAAAAGAGAGAGAGAGAGAGAGAGAAAGCAAGGAACTTTGAAAACATATTTCAAGAGATTGTCCATGAAAATTTCCCCAACCTTGCTAAGAGAGGCCAGCATTCAAATTCAGGAAAGGCTAGAGAACCCCTGCAAAATACTATACTAGATGACCATTCCTAAGATACATAGATATCAGATTCTCCAAGGTTGAGATGAAAGAAAAAATATTAAAGGTACCTAGAGAGAAGGGGCAGGTCACCTACAAAGGAAACCCCGTAAGGCCCACAGTGGACTTTTCAGCAGAAAGCTTACAAGCCAGAAGAGATTGGGGGCCTATATTTAGCATTCTTAAAGCAAAGAAATTCCAGCCAAGAATTTCGTATCCAGACAAACTAAGCTTCATAAGCAAAAGAGAAATAAGATTTTTTTCAGACAAGCAAATGCTAAGGAAATTCATTACCATCACTATTACTGATCACCACAAAAACACACTTAAGGACATACACAATTGACACTACAAAGCAACTACACAATCATGTCAGCATAATAACCAGCTAAAAACATGATGACAGATCAAATCCACACATATCAATAGTAACCATGAATTTAAATGGGATTGATGCCCCAATTCTTGTAGAATCTGTGAAACACAGATAAAGCAATGTTAAGAGGAAAGTTTATAGCACTAAGCACCTACATCAAAAAAGCTAAAAATTAACAAAAAGCTTACATACCAGAATTCATAAAACTACAGTTGTCATATATCATTGCACTATTAATAAACTCAATAGTTATCCCATTTATATCAATAATTACAGTAAGTGTATTCTGACATCTGATTTTTATAATTCTTTGTCGGTATCTCCTGCAGTTACTTCTGACAGTGGATTTGCTTGAATATACCTGTGGTTACTCAGAGTCTTCAACATTCTTCAGTAAGATTATATTAAATTCAATTTCCCACAATCATTCCAACTTTTGGTATTATTTCATAGTATCAGATTTTCTGTACAACTTGCATTACAGCGTTGATATCTTTTTAAACTATTCCTAATTGTCTGTATATCAAGAAAGCCCAAAGTAGAACACATAAGAAAGCAAAATTAATGTTATAATAGGATGAATTATAAAATTAAGAGAGATATTAGCTTTAGATGAGTAGTTTTTGGAAATAATATACCAGTGATATATAGTTAAAGCAGATTCTTCATTAGCTATATGTAGGAATTCTCTCTCATCATATAAAAGTGTTATAAATTATTGGTTAATTTTAATAGCTTGTTTTTCTAAGTTCTTTACAATTTGATATTTTTTCTTTCAGCTCTTTTAGTTTTTCCCAATTGTTACCTAATGCATAATCAACATTAAGTGCTTGGTAGTCTAAACCTTTGATTTGAACTTTTTCTTCATAGCTGAATATACCTCTTGTGAATGAATGTCCATTATTACATGTTATTTTATACTTATAGGTTAAACTTAGGGCCAATAGAAGCAGTTCTATTTTTCCAATTCATATTTTTAATAAGAGACACACATATTCCACCAAGCCCATTATACATTAGTAAAGTTTTATTATGAGATATGCATTGGAAGTTAAAGCCGTTAAATTGTAAGAAACAGGATTCAGTTTATCCCGAATCTTGAGACAAACCCATTCAAAGGGCCATTTCTCATATTTTTTATTGCAATAGCTACATTTGAATAAAAAATAATTAAATCTTCTAGAATTCAGGCATTCATATAACATATTTGTTTTATATCAGTATGGAGTAAAATATACATCCTTTAATCATTGTTGGTTTAGATTTTAGTAGTTTCAACATGCAAATGTAAAATTTCAGCCTTTCTATTTCTAATAGAAGCAAACTTTTTACACCATCCCTTATTCTCTCCATAAATAGCACCATGCAAAATATCTAACTACTTGTATAAGTAGGTAAAAATAAATATATTTATTGCTTTTTAATAGCTAGTTGTAGCATTATTATACAGGTGAGAGACTGTGACAACTCTTTATTTTGTTGCAACAGAATTAAATTCCAAGCTACCCAATTCCAAATGCTTCACTAATTCCATTCCAATTTTGCAATTTCCAGTAAATCTTGCATTACATTATGATTTTGTTCTGTTTGCATCTGAATTACATGTTTCTGCCATTGCCCTAAGGCACAAGCTTGTCAATATTTCTACATCATAAGAGTTTGCAGTTCTGATACTGGTTCCAGTTCCTCCTAATACAATATTTAGGAAGTCAGGCCATATTGACCTGTCCCGTACACAGAGGAAAAACTTAATCATAACCACTAATTGTTATTTTGCATTGAAATTGCTAATACTATTTGATAACAACAATCTGTTACAGGTTTTCTTGGTGAAATACAGAATTCAATGTCTGCATAGAAGGTTTTGATACTGAAAATGACAGACTATTAGCCTATTCTGATGAATGAGAAATAGAATAACGCTCACAAAGGCTTATACTCCATTTCAAATCAACTAAACCTCTAACTGGATTAACATGATTCTCTCTTAGTTTAATCTCCTCTCATAATCAAAGTAAATCCTTACTGAAGGAAGATAACAATATCCAGAGCCTGAAATAGCTCAATATTTGTAAACAATTGTCAGCATTCAATAAAAAAATCCAGATGTGGAAAAAAAAAACAGGAAGGAGTAAAGAGGTATATACTGTTTAGTGTAAATATGTGGATAATTCTAAATGAATATTGTCTGGAAAAATAATAATAACAATGTCTTTAGGCTTTAAAATACATAAAGGAATAAAATCCACATAAATAGTAGTAAAAGTTATAGCATATAAACAAAGTGTTTTATCATCTTGCAATGTCTAAGAAGTGGAAAAAGTCTTATCCTTTAGTAAATCATGAATGCACATTTTAGTCATTAGGCTAATGACCAAAAGAATAATAAAAGCATGTAATACTGACAAACTAAGACAGGAAAAAAAAAGAGAGAAGCTTATAAATATTTTGGCTAAATGAAAGCAAGACTAAGAGAAAAAAGAGCATAAAACAATGTGATGAAAAAGATAGTAAGACAGTAGATTTAAAAATCTAATAATGATTAAATTAAAAGACCAACATTACAAAATCAAAGAGAAACAAGATTGCTGTTTACAAAAGGTAGACCTTACACATAAAGACACAAAAATATTGAAAGTGAAAGAACAGAACAGGTTATGCTATGCAAAAATTAATTAGTTTTGTAATTGTATAGTTACTATGCAAATCTTTAAGATAAGAAAGCATTATTGAAGATAAAGAGGAATATTTCCTCAAAATGAAAGATCAATCAATCAGGAAATATTACAGTCCTAAATTTGTTTTCACCTACTAACATGATCTTGAAATATATAAAGCAGGATATAATAGACACAAAAAGAAAAATAGACAAAATCACTCGCATATTGTGAAATGTTTATGACACATTTTAGTAACCAATAGAAGAAGCAATCTATTCTAATGTGGAAAATTTTAGAAACATGATTAACAAAATTGGCCTGATTGAAATATTATAAATTGCTAGTTTTACTTTTTGTGGTAAAATAACATACTCTGCTTTATTTAGATAATTTTAAAGCTATTGGAAAGCACATAATTCTACTGTTTGGGGCAGAGTTGTCTATAGAAGGGCAAGTTGATTTTATAGTGTTTCTATATCTTTAATGAGTTTTTTGTCTATTTTCAGTCAGTTACTGTAGATTCATCTATTTCTCCTTTTATTTCTATTTGTTTTGCTTTATGTTTTGGAACTTCTGTTCTTAGGTGCATACACACTTAAGGTTACTGTTTCTTCTTGAGAAATTAGCCCTTTCATCATTAGGTAATGTTAAATGACCAGTTTGTTATTTGGTTGAGTTTTTGTCCCTTCATATACATATACTTCATGTACAGAATAAGAATCTTACAAAAGTGTTCTCTGTGTTCCCTCTAGCCTTTGTATTACTGTATTTCTACAGTTATTAGAAGCTGCACAAAACATTTAACCTCATTTGCTATAAAGAAATTAAAAACGTAAAAATTGCCTTTTATTTTTATCAGTATTTTTATCATTTCCGACACTTTCCAATTTTTTGTGTATATTCAAATTTTCATTTGATATCATTTTCATTCTTCCTATAAAAATTTAACATTCTTTTAGGGAAGGCTTTCTAGCCATCAATTATTCTGCTTTTAAATCTAGAAATATTTTTATTTCACACTCACCTTGGAGGACATTTTCAATGGATATAGACATTTGCAGGCCATGTTTTATTTTTTTTTTCTTCGTGCTTTAAAATTAACTGTCTGTTGTCTCAGACTTGTATAATTCTGAACACAAGCCTCTCATTGTTCTTATCTTTTTGCTTCTGTAAACAATATTACATTTTTCCTCTGGCCACCTTCAAACTTGTCTCTGTTTGGCTTTCAGAAGTTTGATGATAATGTATGTGTGTTTTTCTGTGTACTTTTATTTGGGTGATCTCTGAGCACTTTAAATTTGTAGCTTTTGTTGTCTTTTGTTAATTTTTGAAACAGTGTGACTGTTATATAGTCAAATACTGCTTCATTGTTCTCATTGTTTTCTACTTTTGAAATTCCAATTACACATGTTAGCTCACTTGCCTGTGTCCTACAGGTCTTGGATGCTCTATGTTGTTTCTGCTACTCTCTTTTCTTTTTTTCCTTCCACTTTGTGCTTTGATGTGGATGACTTCCATTGCCCTAACTTTAAGTTCTTTGGTTTTTTCTTCGGGTAGGCCAAATCTACTGAAAAATCCCATGGGAAGAATTTCTTCATTTCTGATATTATATTTTTGAGCATCAGTTAAAATGGTTTCTTTGTGTGTGTGTGTGTTTTCTTTTCTCTACTTAAATTCCCTGTTTATTCATTTATTTTGCCCACATTTTACACTAAATGTATTAATATATTAATCATAGTTATTTAGATGCTGATATCTGGACAGTCTGTGTGTCTGTTCTGATATCTTATCTTTTTTCTTGCTCCTCTGTTCATCTCATAGATCTTTCTTGACTTTTGGATATTTTGTGTAAAAAAACAGTGGAAACAAGTGAATAGTATTTTTCCTCATAAATAGAAATGGCACTTTTTCTGTTAGACCATTAGTGTGGATGGTTGAGTCAACCTTGGCAGTATTTGAATTAGGGATAGTTTTATTGTTGTTATAGTTTCCTACAGTGAACAACAGACTTCAAATTTCTCCACAGATGGAGCACAGGTGCTGATGTAAGGCTTGAGGCCTTGGATATTGGAGAGTTTTTCTAAGTGGTTTTACTCTGCCACCAAAAGTCTTCCAATTGCTCTCTCTGACTGTGCCACAGATGGCGTTCTGTCTCCACACTTGTCTCCCACAACAACAGACTGCTGCTGCTTATTGTGCAGTACAAGGCTTGTGGTGAAGTTAAAAACTGTTTTTAATTTCTCCTAAGGTTGAGTCACATGAAAAACTTGTGCACTTGAGCATCAAGGGCAGGGTTTTCTCAGAATGATTGTTCCTCCCAGACTTGGTAGCCAAGCATTCCCCTCTATTTTGGTGAATGGAAGCTGGAATGGCATTTGTGCATTAGGGTATTTTTTTGTCCCTCTTTCAGAAATAGCAAACTTCTTTGCATCAGTGCAAAATGTTGAACATGAAAAGGTTTCCCACTTTTCTGCAGCGTCAAACAGGTTTTTCCCCTTTGTGCTTTTATGACAGAAGGAATGTTTTGGGGCTTTCTCCAGAAGCAGTGGCTCACCATTTGCATGCTTGCCTTTCATTAGATCAATCAAATATTCTTCTCGTTTAAGAGCTATATGTTATATTTTAGCCACATTATAGTTATTCTTAAATTATCATAACCCACAATTATTTCTGTTTTTTACTTTAAAATGTTTTAAATTTAACTATGTATCCCACTCCATCTTCTCTACCTCCATCTGCACTCAGGGCAAATACCTATAAGTCCCCACCCTCATTAATATTCCTGTCCCATACCTGCCATGTCAGTATTACCGAAAATGGTATTTGTAGATTGTTAAGTATCATATTTTTAAGTTCCTCACTTAGTTAGATAATGGAAAATCTGACTAATTTTATATTCATCTTCCATTCCCATATATTTTAATACACTTCAGTTTAAGTATTCTTCTTCATAGAATAATTCCTGTCTTTTGCATTCAAACAAGACTGTTGTGTAACAATATTTCTGAGGTTTTTTTAGAACCTAGATGATATAACCTCTTATTTAAATAATAGGTAGCTACATATAACATTCTAAGTTTGAAGTCAGAGTTATTTTTCTTCAACTCTAAAGCCAAAAATCCATTGTCTTCTTTTACCCAGTGTTGTTGTTCAAAAGTCTGATGTCAGATTTACTTTCTCTTTCTTGTTGAGTGAACTGTTTTTTCTACTTAGGAATTTAGAATTTTTACTTTTCTTTGATATAGGTTTTAATAAAATGTATACGGGTTTGGTCATTATTTTCATTTTTGCTTTTTTTTGTTCTCTCAATCTTGCTTGACATTATTCAATTTAGCGTAATTCAATTTGTCTTTAATTTGGAAAATTTTTGGTTATTATTTATTATCACAATTATTACTTTCACCATATCAGTTTATCTTCTTCTGGTGCTTATATTATACAAAAGTGTTACGTCTACTTTTGTCATATCTCTACATATTTCTCTCATTCTTTGATTTTCTTTACTTATTACTAATATTTTTGGCAGAGTTAATTGACATTATCTTTCAGCTTTTTGCACTAAGATGGTGTAGTGAAAGCAATGATCCTAAAAATGATTCCAAGAATATGTGGAAACTCTATCAATACCTATCTTCCTTCAGTGTTACTCAGGTATTTTCTTTGCCATTTCCCTCTCTTTTTCTTACCCATTTCAGCCTCCACAAGCCTTTCTCATAGTTTGAGAAATTATTCAAAAAACATCTTCTTGTTCTGTGGCATCTCTTGATTGTTCAGTGAGGGAAGCATTTCCTGTTTTGCCATCTTCTCTTAAATAAGAACTTTCCAAGCACTTATTTTCTTAGTCATCAATATTTGTGCAGTGCAGTTTTTCTTGTGTGAAGAAAATATGGTATACATAATATATTTAAAACTAACTGACAACAATCATATTTCTTCTTTCCACTGACAATTTCAATTCCAAACTGATTACAATTGTGAATATGTTTTTCTTTTCTAAAAGTTTACGTGAATTTTTATTAATTTATCTCAACATTGACTAACTGGAGACACCATGGTTTTTTTTTGTTGTTTTTTTTTTTTTCTTTTTTTTAGAGAGACAGAGTCTCACTCTGTTGTCCAGGCTGGAGTACAGTGGTGCAATCTCGGCTCACTGAAACCTCCACCTCCCATGTTCAAGCGATTCTCCTGCCTCAGCCTCCCAAGTAGCTGAGATTACAGGTGGATTCACCACCAAACCACTCATTTTTTGTATTTTTAGTAGATACGGGGTTTTGCCATTTTGGCTAGGCTCGTCTTGAACTCCTGGCCACAAGTAATCTGCCCACCTCGGCCTCCCAAAGTGCTGGGATTACAGGCATTAGCCAACACGTCTGGCCTGACACCATGTTCTTAACATAGAAAGGAGACATTAAATGTCTATCCAAATCCTGTTTGACAAAATTTGCTTTCAACTCTACCCATAAAATGTCTCAAAATATATTTTTCTCCTCCTACTATTACCTTGGGAAATATTAATCTCAGAATAATTGAGAAACACTGACTAAGCCGTTAATTTTAAATGACACATTAGTAACTGTCATCTAAATTGATAGACCTATAATTGAGAGTAGTATTAAAAGGTAACATCCTTATCATTGAATATAAATTACTTATCTAATGAAACCTTGAGGCTTGTAGTTGCTTACCATAAGAAAATAACAGAATCTTATATAAATAAAAATAGATGAGTTTTTTGCTTTTCTCAGGATAATACTTCATCTTTCTGTGTTAAATGTTTGCATTTAACACTTGAAGACTAAATGTCTTTCTCAGAAAATCTCTAAAGCAATGTCAATAGTCCTGAAATCTATAACTGGTGAATCACATATCCTGGTAAATATGAAGAGAAAAAAATAATGTACAGAGATGTTAAAACATACACTATTCTGCCTATGTGTCTGTTAAACAAGCTCTGTGTTTTTGTGCAAAAGCAATTGTTTGGGTAATTCAGGTATAATAGGGAGGGGTGTAACTAACTATATTCATTTTATTAGTCTGATAATATAATTATTTTACATAAAGCAATAAATGTGTTTGTGCTTATCTCTGTGTGTGTATGTGTGTGTAAAATAAAGCATAATCTTGACGGAGAATTTAAATTAACTGGAAAAAAATTGTATTCATCAGGTTTTCTTACAGAATGATAAAAAGTGTATTTCCAAAAGAAAAAGCACTCATTTGGTTGCAACTGAAAGAATCTAATAATTATATTTCTAATATTTGAAAGGAAATTTTGAGAGAACGATGGTTACCTTCAAAAACTGAAAATCTAACTATTACATAGATTATACCTTTAAATATATTCCTAAGAAAATGTTTTTAATGCAAAGTAACTAAAGTTTCTGTCCACCTTTATAAAATTAATGCAATATATTGTAAAATTCCACTTTATTTTACTTTAAATAAAAAGGACATATTCCTATTTTTAGGGAAGTATGCAGTAACATTCACATAAGAATACGCTATTGATTTCTGCAGTTCACTAAACCTTACATATGAACAACTTTTAAATTATGAGATATTTAAGATTTTCAATGATTTGCAAGAATGTAAGACTTAATTGCATATAAGTAACAGGGTTTATGACAGTGATTGGATTGTTTCCTCAACACAAAGGAACTTTATATTTGAGAAATTTTAATTTCAACATGAAATTTGCATAATATGCTCAAGGAGTACAAAAACCAGTTTTGCTTATAACTTTATTAATTGCTTCTTGGCTCTGCTGAAATGTATTTATAGCAATGTTTATTTTGTAATCTGAATGTAAATTTGTAGAATTATTTGTATAGCTTAAAGAATTTCTGGGCCGGGCACAGTGGCTCAAGCCTGTAGTCCCAGCACTTTGGGAGGCCAAGGTGGGTGGATCACTTGAGCCCAGGAGTTCGAGATCAGCCTCGGCAACATGATGAAACCCCACGTTTCATACAAAAAAATTAGCCAGACGTGGTGGCGCACACCTGTATGCCAGCTACTTGGGAGGCTGAGGCGGGAGAATCACTTGAGCCTGGGAGGTCAAGGCTGAGCTGTAATTGCACCTCTGCACTCCAGCCTGGGTGACAGAGGGAGACCCTATTAAAAAAAAAAAAATCATTTCTGAACTACAATCTTCTCTCAGAAGATTTCTTTGATCAGGCAACAAAACTCTCTTTTTCTACAATACTTTATGAGTATAAAAAACATATAAATTATACACTTGACTAGCATCCTTATTATACATTTTTCTCATTGTGAATATGATATAAATAATGTAATTCAATAAACAGTTCACAATTCCTTTTTAAGTATTGTGATATTATTGAGGCACTGCAGCAGAAACCAAGGTGTGAATGAATGACAAAGGCTCCTCGTCTCAAGGGCCATAACGTACAATAGAAGTTCTCTGCTCAAGATTGCAGTTAACTTTTTTGTTTTACTTCTCTTTTCTTTTTCTCTTCCTTTTTCTTTATAGCTTTCATTTTTTTGTTGTTTAAAATGTAAGCTTTTAAATAGGTCAGAAATTTATGGGACATTTTTTCTTGTGCAAGAAACCATAATGTAAAGTTTGAAGCTGAGTACTATAATATCAGCACAAGTGTGTTGGATGAGCCATTATTAGTGTCATTTTATGATTGAGTAAAGAAACCAAAAGGGGTAAAATCTTCACTCAGTAAATAGACTATTTTTTTCTCTTTCACCGTACCATAATGAAAGGATCACATAGTGTAATATATGTTTAAGTAGTTAATTAATGCTCGTAAGTGAAATAATAAAGCCCCACACTACTCAGTTTTTCCAAAATGTCTAAATATATGTTACCATATTTCTAAATTTTGAGAGGTATAAAATATTCAAAATAAAAGTAATGCTCTGAATTACAAGAATTTTGAATAGCATATCCCTCTTTACAATGGAGAATAAGTGTTTGACTTCAAAAAGTGACTATGATTAAATATAGCCTAGAATAGTGGAAATGAAATGTGAATTGATGCATTTGCTATGAATCTCCCATTCATTTCTGCCAAATAGGAAAAGCATCTGTCTACCAAAGATTCACGCTTGTTTTCCATAGTGTCATTCATTGCTGCTAAGAGTCATCCGTCTAGATAGGAAGAATAATTCCCAGGTTCCTTTGCAGCTAGATGGAGCCAGTTGACTAGTCTTCACCAATGGAATAAGAGAAGGGGCATATATCACTGTCTCAAAATGAACAAGAGGCAGATATGCTTTCTCCACTATCTCTTGCTCTTTGTGCTGGCTGGCAAAAAGGGAATCTCTTGGTTTGATGTCTGACAGCTTATGACAAAAAACTTCCCCATACCCTGATGAAGAACACTTTCTTGGCATGGTTGTATAAGCAAGGGATACATTTTTATTATGAAAGGTACTAAGATTTTAAGATGTGTTAGTTATAAGAGCTATTACGTACTTACCTAATACCAGATGCCTGCACTGCAAACCTTGTCTTTTGATCTTCGACAAATACAAAGTACTTATTTGTTCGTTTTTATTAGTTTTATTGTTTAGAATTGAACTATGAATAGTTGAGAATTATTCAACATAAGGGAAGAACAAAAAAGGGAAGAGTACTAAAAAAAATCAAAAGAAATTACAAAAAGTGGCCAGGCGTAGTCACTCACACCTGTAATCCCAACACTTTGGGAGGCTGAGGAGGATAGATCATGAAGTCAGGAGTTTGAGACCAGCCTGGCCAACATGGTGTAACCCCATCTCTACTAAAAATACAAAAATTAGCTGGGCGTGGTGGTGGGTGCCTGTAATCTCAGCTACTCGGGAGGCTGAGGCAGGAGAATAGCTTGAACTCAGGAGGCAGAGGCTGCAGTGAGCCGAGATTGCACCACCACACTCCACCCTGGGTGACAGAGTGAGACTCCATCTCCAAAAAAAAAAAAAAGAAAGAAAGAAAAAACAAATTACCAAAAGTTAAAAAGCTTAGAAATTTGATAAGGTACTTCCAATGAGTCAGGGAGAAATGCATGGAGAAAAAGAGAAAGATCAGAGGCTTCTAAATGACAGACCCACATGACACTAATCAATTTAACATTTTCAAGATTAAAATTTACAAATCTACAAAGAGGAAAAAATATACCCAGTCTATATTGTCAAAATGAAAATAGATTAGGCATTATTATTCTTTCCTGGCACACCTGTTAATGTTGAAATCCAATAAAAGAAAACAAATACAGAAATAGAGGGCTCAGAGTTGTGAGTGGAATATTTCCAGAGCTCCACAAAAGCTGTTTGGGAAATTGTAAACCTCAATCAATACATTGGAATTCAGAAAATGCTCTCACAAGCCTAGAAATGGGAATTTAATATTATCAGATAAAGGGAAACAAGTGAAATGGCAAGAAATACTATTGGTCTCCAACACATAGCAAAGACTTTCAAAGGTCTCTTTCTGAAAAAACAGGAAAATTTAGAGAGTGAATGATCCAGTTTCCATACAGAGACCAAAGTAGTTATTTTAGTAGCACTTTGGTCCCATGTGTGTAAACTTCAGCAAGCCTTTTAAACCAAAGGAGAGATTTGAGTTATTATAGATCTCAGCTATAGAAGGAATTTTCTTTGCTTATGAACTATGCAATAATGCAAGTGTCATTCTGGTCATGTATTGCCTAGGCCATACCAGTTTTCACGTTTTTGAGAAATTTCCTGTGGTAACTGCATAGAGCATCACTTTCTTCAACAGTGCAAGGTGAAATCTAATGACATAGTGGGAGAAAGTAATGCAGAAGTGTTTTTTTTTGCTTTGTTTTAATATTTGTATATTTTTACTTCCAAGTCATCCTGTTCAGACCATGCAATAAGTTTTAAGTGGATGCTTTAACATACGGTTATTTTTAATAGATTTTGAGTAAAAAATTAATCCAGTGTGTTCAGATATCTGCTTCTAGAGAGAACGAGCTCACAGTAAGCAGTGTTCCTTAATGAAGAACTTTTACAATTTCTTAGTGACTACTCCAAAGTTCAGGTGTGATATTTCTGGAGAAGCAACCAGACTACAGTATTCTAGAGGGAGCAGAAGTGAAATCTCTGTACCAATTAATGACAGTGCTATTTCCTTTCATATATCTTTACATATGTCATTTTCTGATTTCTATAAATTTAGGGCTTAGTAAATTTTCATTTGAAATGAGACTATGAATGAATATGCCTATATGTGTGATAGAATCTTTGTATCCCTTGAACATAGCATACTACAAGCTTACATAATTTTTAGCACCAGATTTCAATAGAATGATAAAATAGAAAGGCTCACCAGAAGTTATCTAGCTTACTGTCTCATTCTATAGTTGAGGGAACTAAAGCCTAAGGAAGGAAAGTGATTTGCTCAAGGTCAATAAAAATTTTCATTGTATTCTTTTGCATTATAAAGCACTGACTTTCATGGTTTGATAGCTAACTGTGCATAAAGATTCCTTAAAGCAATGAAGGAATATCAACTATGAAGAAGTATCAACTATGAAGGAATATTGCTTTAACTCCTTAAAGCAATGAAGGAATATCTCCCTATACCCATTACTCTCAAATATAAGGGTGCAAAACAATCACCAGGGAAGTTTGTTGAAGCTTTCTTTAGTTACTATGCCCAAATATTTGGAGTCAGAAAGTCTAGTGTGGAAGCAAGCCACCCATTCCAATGTAAGGGGCCTGTACTGATCTTCACAAAAAAATGCTTGTTAAATAAATAACTTTCTATCCTGCTTTTTCTATTCTTGCCTCAATAAACACTGAAAAATTTGGCTTAACATTTTAATAATAGACTTATTAATGGTACATATTGTAGGCAGAGTGCATTATAAATTTGACCACTGAACTGAAGATTTCTATGACTTTGAATATTTCTCAAATTTCCTGTCTCCATCATCAGATTCACCATAGCTTATGTAATAATACTTATAAATTACTTAAGATTTTCTATAAATTTTATTAATATTTTTGTATTTATGAATTACATAAATAATCTTATACTGCCTTTGATATTTTAGCTCTGAGAAAGAAAACTTCTCTACTAACAGGTTTTTTATAGAAAATAAATATATTAATTTTCTCAAAAGAAATATTGCATAGAGTCACTCAAAGAACTAATTGAATCCTGTTAACCATGCATTTTTCATTGCAGAATATATAATTACTTTTTTCTAAGGCTATATAGCCAATAGTTAGAATTGAAATATTGATGCAATCGTTCAAGAGCCTCTCCCATGAAAACTGACAATTCTCCACTAAAATCAGCATCCATAGACACCATCTGGAATTGCAAAATGCCAGCATCGAGTTGCTATTTTCAGTTAGATATTATGCCTTGTTTGGCTATTATGCATTCTCTAGGTTATGGTGGCAGAGATTATATTACTGACTGTGTGCTGGTGCGTTTTTCTGAATGGCTAGCACACAACAATTTTTATAGAATTAAGCTATAAATTCATATGTGAAGATTTAAAAAAAAAACAATTTGCTTTCAGTCAATATGACTTAAGAGATGTTTTCCTTTTTTTTAAAGAAAACAAATCTGGCTTATATCTCTTAAATACAATAAATACTCCATCCCTAAGTCAGAATGAAAATGTAATGTTATAATGCAGATTCATTTAACAGAAAACATTTTTTAACCAGAACTCCTAAATCATAAAAAAGATAAAGTGATAATTAAGTTACACGAGACGTCTAATACATGAGGAAAGCAAATACTCACATCTGAGTTTATCTTTCTCTTTGAGTTTCTTGGCTTAGAAGGATAGATGTTTGAATATTGAATATAGATCTTATACATTATTTGGCACTCATGCTAACTTTCTCACAAAGGGTAGTATTATTTTATGGTATTTATGGCATTATATTATGCCATAATGAAGTAACTTCATTACTTAGTGGTCAATTCTCTACATTAAAAACCTAATGCAGCTTTGTGACCCAATCAAGAAGTTATCGGTCCTTTTAAAATCTGTTTTTGGCAAAATATTATACCTAAATTACTCTCCTAAATTTCACACTATATTTTAACCTCTGTATTAAAATGTAATGTTCTGTATATTCGACTTAACATATATATTTAAGGTGCATTCACACTGTATTGCTATCAATGCTTCATCCCTTTGAATAGTCAATTAATATTCCATTGGTTGGGCTGGGTGGCTCACGCCTGTAATCCCAGCACTTTGGGACACCAAGGTGGGTGGATTGCCTGAGGTCAGGAGTTTGAGAAGACCAGCCAGGCCAACATGGTGAAACCCCGTCTCTACTAAAAATGCAAAACTTAGCTGGGTGTGGTGGCAGATGCCTGCAATCCCAGCTACTCGGGAGGCTGAGTTAAGAGAATTGTTTGAACCCAGGAGATGGAGGTAGCAGTGAGCCGAGCTTGTACCACTGCACTCCACCCTGGGTGACAGAGCGAGACTCCATCTCAAAACAAAAACAAAAACAAAAACAAATCAATTTTGTGGCTATATCACATTTCTATATTCAGTCATCCATTGGTGGACACTTGGGTTATTTCTACTTTATGGCTGTTATAAATAATGGTGCTGTGAACATTCATGTGCAAGTTTTTGTGTGGACATGCTTCAACTCACTTGGGCATATATTTAAGAGTGAACTTGCAGGGTCATATAACAGTGTTGAACATTTTGAGTAACTGCCAGACTGTTTTCCCAAGTCTCTGTACCATTTTACAATGCCACTGGCAATGTATAAGCATTCCAATTTCTTTACATCGTCATTAACATGTTATTGTCTTTTTGGTTCCAGCTAAACTAGCAGGTGTGAGTGATATCTCATGGTTTCTATTTGTATTTTCCTAAAGACTAGTGATGTTGAGCAGCTCTTCAGGTGCTTATTGACCATTTGCATATCTTCATTTGAGGAATGTCTATTCAAAACCTTTCTCAATTTTAAAATTCAGTTATTTGTCTTTTTATTCTTGAGTTGTAGGAATTCTTTATATATTCTAAATCTAAGTATCAGGTCAGACATATAATTTTAAAATTTTGCCTTTCTGGGTTACTTTTCACTTTCTTGATAGTGTTCTTTGAAGTGTAATACTTTTGATAGCATAAATTTATCTTCTGTTTTATTTTGTTGCTGGTGCTTTTCATGTCATAACTAGGAAGCCACTCTATAATTCAAGATTATGCTATTTTACTCCTAGATTTTCTTCCGTAAGTTTTATTTTATTGAATTAGTCCTTACTTTTAGGCATATGATGCATTCTCACCTAATTTTTTTGTATAGTGTGAAGTATTAATCCAGCCTCATTCTTTTGCATGTGGATATCCAGGTGTTTCAATATAATTTGTTGAAAAAACTATTCTTTCTTCATTGTCCTGGTACACTTGTCAAAATTCAGTTGACCATAAATATGAAGGTTTATTTCTGGACTCTCAATTCTATTTCATAATTCTAGATATCTACTTTTATGCCAATACTGTTCTGTTTTTATTACTGAACATTGTAGTAAGTTTTTAAATTGAAAAGTACTAATCTTTCAACTTTGATTTTTTAATGATTGTTTTTGTTATTATGGTTCCCTTATATTTCCAAATTAATTTTAGGATCAACCTGTCAATTGCTGCCCAAAAAATGTCTGGGATGTTGAGAGGGATTGACTTAAATCTGTAGATCAATTGTGGGAAATATTATGTTTCTGTGCATTAGCCATGAACAAACAAAATGAAATTAAGAAAATAATTCCACTTGCAATTGTGTCAAAAAGATTAAAATACTCATGAATAAATTTTATAATTGTTTAAAAATTAAATGACACTTAAATAAAAAATATTTTATATTGATGGATCAGAATGACTTAATGTTAAAATGGCAACACTTCTGGCATAGGTTGAAGGTTAAAAAAACAAATGTGTTAAGTACAGAATTCTAGGTTGGCATTTATTTTCTCTCATGAGTTTGAAGATATAATTTCACTCTTTGAATAGCTTTGATTTTGTTGAGAAATCTGTCAGTTTAATACTCATTCTTTTATACATGAACTTTTTTCTCTTTTTTAATTTCAAACCACTTTTTTGTTATAGTTTTATTACAGAGTTTCCATTTCTTTTTGCTTTTGTTTATGCTGTTTGTTATAAATTGTCATTCTGTAGACTTTTATCTTTCTTCAGTTCTGGAAAATTCTTAACATTATAATTATAAAAGTAACTTCGCCTTTATTCTATCTTAATTTTTGAAGACACTCAGACAAATACTAGGCATTCATAATTTTCCTTCTTATCTTTCAAACTTTAAAAAAATACTTTCAATTTCTTTTATCTAAGTGGTATACTATAGATTTTTTTTTCAGATATTCTGTTCACTAGTTTCCTTTAAGTTGTGTCTTAGCTGATAGCTAAACCACCTATTTTGTTTTGTTTTGTTCTTAATTTCAGACGCCTTATTTCTTATTTCTTAAGATTTCATTTCTTTCTCTTTCAAACGTGCCTAGTCATTTTGGATAGTCTCTACTGCTCATTTCTGTGATCTCACCTTTCTCAATTTATTCATTCCACAATATATACTTATTTCAAAACATCATGCTGTGCATGACAAATATACATATATATGTCAAAAGAAAACTAAAAAATCTATACATAGTCAGATTCTATTCTGCTCTGGGTATTTCTAATAACTTAAGTCTTCTGAGAGATATGAATCTCTTATTTTTCTTGATGATTTTCACTCATGATGAAAGTTTTCTCTTGTGCTTGGTGATTTTTGAGTCAAAGCTCAGAAGCCATTCATTTTTATCAGTGGTAATCCTGAGGCCCTTATGTCAGAATGACTAGGCAATTGCTTTTGTCAGAAACCTGGAGATGTTTCCAACCTTGGATTTCTTAATTCTTTTACAGGATTCAAACTTAAAGCTGTATCAGGTTCAGCTCTAACAACCTGCTCCTGGCCCAAGCCTAGGAATCCAAAATACAGTGCAGGTATTGGCATTTGCTCTTGGATGGGGTTGTGAGCATTTCCTTAACACTAAAGACTTTTTGCTCTAGCTATGTTTGCTTGTTTTTACACAGAAGAAACCTCTGCAGTTTCCTATGCTTCTGCCAGCCCAGGAATGTCTTAAAAATATATTTTATCCATAAACTAATTGTTTTGCATAAGAAGCCTTTTCATAGTGAGACTTTTCATTTGCCAGACTGACAAAAGCAGAAGTGTTGTAATATTTTTAATCTAATTATTTTTAAGGTTATGATTTGAATTAACTTATATCCTTAACATAAGGATAACAATACTGGGCAAAAATTGTGAAGATTATTTGAGTTAGTGCTCACAAAATAAAATGTATTTAATAAGTGACAATTTTATCATTACTAGTATTGAAATTAATAATACATATTATTCATATTATATTTTATGATATCTAAAATTAAAATTCAGAACTTACCTGATGTCAATATTTCAAGAATTTATTTATTTTGACTATCAAATGCAATACAGGCATTTTATTTGTATCCTACTAGATTGTAAATGTTATGACATTTTATTATATGTGAAATTCAAGAAATACTAAAAGCATTTCATGCAAGGTTTTTATAAATTGTTGGTTCCGTTATTTTAATAAAATAGTTTACATAATATAAAAATGGTTACACTGAATTATTTTTTGGGAAAGAATCAGAAATGCTTTGCCTTATATAAGCCATTCAATGATTAATTGATTCATTCAATAAATATTTCTTGAATCACAATTTATAAAACAGAGAAGTGTGCAGAATAGTTTATGTTCCTTGAGTCAACAATACTTACAAATATGATTCAGGACATAGGCATGTCAATGGCTTATTTTGTTCCTGGGATGATAATAATTGTAAAGAAATAAAAATGGATATTTATACTAGGCACTATGCAAAATATTTTATATTCATGAAGTAATTTAATACTTAGAAAACCCCAATAAAATGGGTTCTCATATTATCCTTGGTTTTCCTGTTTAGAAAATTTAAGCTTAGAGATTAAGTTCTCAAAGTCACCCTCTTGGGAGCAGTCATGAGTTTATTCCTAATTCTCCCAGACTGCAGAGTTCATGCAAGTAGAAAATACTCTTTATTTTTCTCAATTACTAGATGTGACAATTAAAGGATGTGGCATATGCTCCTAGCATTCCATATGTAAAGAATTATTGTTGAATTTTGTAGAAAAGAAGGGGGCATCAGGGTGGAGGTACATTTGAACCGGGCATAGGAAGATGAGTTGAATTAGAGCAGGGAAAGGCTGGGTGAGGTTATTCCAGATGAAGGTAATGACTTGAATAAGGGTACTGAGGACTAAGAGCATAATGGTCTATTAAGGAAGGAAAAGGGTCTGATGTTGTTGGTGCTTTATTGAAAGCCACAACAGATGAATATGCAGGTTGAAACTAGTTCCTTAAGGCTCTGAGGCCAAGCTAAGAAATTTGGCTTTCATTATATCAGCATTTGAGAACCACCAAAACTTTTAAAGAGAGTAGAAATTTGTTTTTTTCTTGTAAATTTGTTTGAGTTCTTTATAGATTCTGGATATTAGTCCGTTGTCAGATGAGTAGATTGCAAAATTTTTTCATTCTGTAGGTTGCCTGTACACTCTACCCTAGAACTTAAAGTATAATAAAAAAAAAAGAAAAAAAAGAAAACAGTAAAACAAAAAAAAGAGAGTAGAAATTAAACATGATTTGGATTTTAATAAAATAACTCCAGCAACAGCCTAAAGATGGAGAGCTAGGATTTTATATGCAGGTAGGGCAGGTGAAAGATTATTGAAATGATAACATCAAGAAAGAAGAGTTCAGAGCTGTGGAAATGGAATTTTAAGGCCATAAAAGTATTTTAAATTTTGAAACTCATAACTCATTTCCAGGTTTCTAAAACTAAAGCTTTCTTCTTTAAATTGAATTAAAATGTAACTACAGATAACTAGATAATATTCCATATTTATGTCTTCTGTGGCATTTTTATCTTTAGTTACAAATATATGGAGTAAACATATTACACATTTTGTGCATTTTTATAATTCTATTATAAATTTTATTCTTTAAAATAACCTACGTTATTCTTTAAAATAACCTATTTTATTTATACCACTAACATAGTTGGTAGTATAAAGAAAATATTTCTAGCTTACTATCGATAAGTATGCAGAAGCAGGAGGCCAACAGAAGGTGAGGCCTGGTACTTAGCAGCCTAGGGCTTTTACAAGGAATGAAATGACTTACAAGCAATCATCCAACCGACATGGGAATAAACATCCACAAAATAATAAACCTACTCTGCTATCAAACCTAGCAGTAATGCATCAAACTATCAAAGTCTTTTGTATTCGTACACATTGTGTGCAGTGAGAATTTTTATTCTTATTTTATACATAAGTAAATTATAAATTTTAATTGGAAACCAAAAAATTTGAATTTTAACTGATATCTTATGTTTGGTAGTTTTTTTCTGAGGTCTTTGTAGAATGATGTTGCAATTGTACTGTTCACATTTCAAGAAAATATTGACTACTATAATTGCACGCATTACCAAAGGTAAGAGAAAGATTAAAGAATATCTGTTACTCACTTTCATAGTTGATCATTTTAATATTAAATTATAGGATGTATAGCATTGTGTCCAAATACGTATCCTGCAATACAAAACAAATATGTAAATGTAGAAAAAGTCAAAACAATATGTATCCAGATATAGACAAGCAACAAATGCAACACAGAATGCCAATGTAATGTTGTATTCTCTTTTTTTATTCTTCTCATTGTCATTCTACTCAATGTCAGGAGGAATATGAAAATATTCCTGCAACACAGCCCAAAGCCATAAACCATACAAGGAAAAATCAGCATCTCCCAGAAGATCAATTTATTACATTACCAAATTTCTTATTCATGAAATTTGATCTAATTGCCTCAGCATAGAAGTATATTATTTTTATAGATCATAATGATGCATGAATGTAATTACATTAGTGATTTTCCCATATTAGCAAAATAATGCTTCTCTTTAACAGTGAAACAGTGTTTGATTTCTTGAAATACAGTGTACAGATTACAAACATATTAAAATTATCTTTTCATTTTAATAGCTTATGTTATTATGACAAGTATAAATTATAAATTTTTATATACTGTTTTCATCTTGAATACATGGTTTCAATGGATATAGGGGCATTTATAGTTCACATGGCTTTTACTAGCAACGTAATTCTTATTTCTAAATAGTTTTCTAGTTTATTATTTCTAGTTTATGAAGCATTTAATATTTCTGGTCACTGTCTTCTAGGTCCAAACATACAAATTAACCAAAAATCAATATAATATATTGTCAATCAATTTGGACGTGCCAATTCTTTCTAAATAGCCTTTCAGATTGCTACTGCTATCAATTGCATTAGGGTGGTGGCATTTTCTAGAAATAACCAGTTTTTTAAAAGAATTATTAGAGTATTCTCTTCAGATTTTAAGTCTCATTCATTTTCTTGGCTATTGAGCACCCGCTGATTAGGGCTCAAGCTGTCAGTATCAGCTGATTTTTGTAGCCAAACTGTGGAAGAACTGGTTCATGATCCTTCCTTGAAGCTTTTGTTGTTGTTGTTGTTGTAATTTAATGAAAAAACTGAACAAAGTTTAGTAACACAAGATTCAACCAGTTTCAACATGCCATGTTAACATAAAAGAGATACATATCAAAATTATTGGACTTTTGAAAATGAATCTGGCTAAAATATTTTATTTTTAAGGCTAACATTTTTAACAGCTTTATTGAGGTATAATTGATAAACACAAATCTACCTATATAATGTATTCAATTTGATGAGTTTCTACATACATATACATACACCATGAACACTATCGCCACAATTAAAGTAAAAGACATGTCTAACATGTCTGAAATTTTCTATGCATCCTTTTGTTTTTTGTTTGTTTGTTTTGTTTGTAATATAGTTTGGCTCTATGTCCCCACCCAAATCTCACATGGGATTGTAATCCCCATGTGTTGAACGTGGGTCCTGTGGAAGGTGAATGGATCATAGGGGTGGATTTCCCTCATGCTGTTCTCATGATAGTGGGTGAGTTCTCAGGAGATCTGGTGCTTTAAAAGTGTGTGTGACTTTGACCTTCTCTCTCTCCTGCCACCTTGTGAAGAAGGTGCTTGCTTCCCCTTCACCTTGTGCTATGATTGTAAGTTTCCGGAGGACTCCCAATCATGCTTCCTGTTAAGCATGCAGAACTGTGAGTCAATTAAACCTCTTTTTTTTCATAAATTACCCAGTCTCATGTAGCTCTTTATAGCAGTGTAAAAACAGACTAATACAGTTTGTTTGATTTTCTTTTTTTTTTTTTTGGTGGTAAGAACACTTAAAATGAGATTTTGAACTATTTAAGATATGAAGAAGTTAAACAAAAAAAACTGCAGACTTATTGAAGTACTTCTCAAGTAGGCCTTTTATTTTCACCTCATTTTTTGACTGACCTTCTTGCACCTCTTGAATCTGAATTTGCTCTTTGATAAAAATCAAAATGCCATATTATGCATAAATAGGAGTCTGAGTGCTGAAATTAAAATGTGGGAACTTGTTTTTAAACTGTTATCCTGAGAAGTAGTCTTATTAAGGAAATTCATATATGCAGTTAAAAGTTATTTCAAGCTGTGACTCAGAGGTTATGGATTGTGTTGCCATGCATAATAGACATTGGGGTCATCCATCACTTGAGTGTCAGCTTCCTTGCTTAGCCTAGAGGGGTTGTGATGCTACATAAAAAGACCCTAATCCCTTTGTGTTAGGAATGACATTTGGGGCCTTTTATCTTAATGGATAAGTTAGCATTCCTTCAGTACAGTTTTGAAAAATGTGACCAGGATGCTCCAGGATTATTAAACAGCACGAAAGCCAGTTAGGTACAAGACTGTCTATGAACTGAATCAATAATACAACATTCAGAATATATTTCTGAATATACTTCTGTTCTCCTTTCTTTCTTTAGCAGTTTTGAAATGAAACAACAAAATAACATTTTTAAATCAGAAATCAATGTTTGATTCTGCAGATCACAAGTGAGTAATGTCTTATTTATTATAAATTAATAAAGATTTCTCTAAAATGCTCTATTATTATAGCAATTCTAATGATGTTAATTTAAGGTATTTTCTTTCCCTGCCTAAGGTAATTTTTAAAATAACAACCAATTCTTTGATGCAGTTGTAAATTACCAGAAGGAAATCCCCTCTGGATTTAAAATGATGAGAGGATCTGTCTTCATTTATTCATGGAACTGCAGAGTGTTTACTTTTCTTCTTCTTCCTTTTCTTTCTTTTTTTTTCTCTTTTATTTCAAATCACCTTTCCAGTTTTTTTTGGTAACTCTGCTGACATTATGACAAAATTAATTTTATAATGAAATCAGCACAGAAGGCATATTACCAAAATATGAATTCCCCCTTCCTCAAATGTAACTATAAAACTGATTAACTCTACGTACAGCATACAGTAAAGTGAAAACCTATAATTGCCATATTTAAATGTAAATATGTATTTTGAATATTTTAGAAAAATATGAATGTCTCTAGGAGTTGCTTTAAATATTATGTGATTTTCAGTGTCAATGAAAAGAGTCAAACTCTGTATAGTATTTTAAGAGATTTATTCTGAGCCAAATATGAGTGACCATGGCCTGTGACACAGCCCTCAGGAGGTCCCGAGAACATGTGCCCAAGGAGGTAGGAGTACAGCTTGGTTTTATATATTTTAGGGAGACATGAGACATCAATCAAATACATTTAAGAAATACATTGTTTGGTTCAGAAAGGCAAGACAACTCAAAGTGGGCCGGGCGGGGAAGGGGGTGCGTAGTGGGGGTGGGGGACTCCCAGGCTATAAGTAAATTTAAACATTTTCTGGTTGACAATGGGTTGAGTTTGTCTAAAGACCTGGGATCTATAGAAAGAAATGTTCAGGTTAAGATAAAAGATAGTGGAGACCAAGGTTCCTTTAAAGTCTTATAGTGGCTACCCTTAGAAACAATAGATGGCAAATGTTTCCTCTTCAGATAGTTAAAAGGTGCTAGATGTTTAGTTAATCTCTTCAAGATTGGGAGGGCCTGGAAGAAAAAAATCTAGCTATGTTAATAGAGTCTTTACAGATGCAGATTTTTCCCCCACAAAGGATGGCTTTGCAGGGCCATTTCAAGATATAGAAACATGTTTGGGGGTTAAATATTTTGATTTCTTTCCTCGTCTCATAATGTTATGCCAGAGTCAGATTGGAAAG
The DNA here is from genome assembly GCF_000001405.40 of Homo sapiens. Classification (NCBI taxonomy): domain Eukaryota; kingdom Metazoa; phylum Chordata; class Mammalia; order Primates; family Hominidae; genus Homo; species Homo sapiens. The sequence goes on from NC_000006.12 coordinate 62,765,287, forward strand.
TAAGTCACGATATATAGGGTCAAGTAAAGCCCATCAGATGAGAATTTATGGTTTGTAGGGCATGGCTCCCCAGACTCCTTAAATAGGAATTTGGGCAAGATAAAAAAATCAGAGCTTTGTCCTCATTAATAAAGGATAAAGGACAAAACTGGCAAGGATAATACTATCCTACCCCAGTAGGTAAAGTGTTAGAGGACAATCAGGTGGTTTGATAGTATGTAGATGGATTTAACTCAGTGGTCTTATCAGCTAGTTTAAAAGTATAATAACACTAGAAAAATCAGACAGAGTGGAAGAGAGATTGAGGACCACAGTGAATTGTCTAGTTGAAAGATGTATCCTGGCTTTAAGAAATAAGATATGAAATCTCTGTACTGTGAAACCCACTTGTTTCCATACATGTGAATATATCCTGATAAAAATAGTGCTAATCCATTACTTTACATTTTGAACATTAAAGACATTGTCAACTGATAAATCCAAAGCAGTATCTCCTTAGTAATAATAAAGCATGAGGTTAGAACTGAAATAACAAATTCTCACACTACTAACCTCTCCTTTGGTCACCAAAAGAAAATCTGAAAAGCTAATATTTAGAAAATAAGAATACTATTAAAAGAAAATTTTCATTAGATGAGTAAATCATGATTGTCATATATTAGGTTAGTGCAAAAGAAATTGAGGTTTTTCCCATTAAGAGTAATGGCAAAAAATTTTGAACTTTTTAAAAGTAGTGGCAAAACCGCAATTATGTTTGCACCAACCTAATACATGTGATAAATGAACTTCTGTTAAAAAATTTGTATTTAACTTAATAGTAAGTGAACTAGTAAGATGTTACAATCAAGTCAAAGCAGAATCCAAAGAACAGATACATTATAAATCAAGAATATTAAAACTGAAGGAAGAGAAAGACCCTCTCATACTGTTTTATATTGTTTTATACTCAGTATCTGTTTTAAGGAAAAAACAACAAGGAAGTAAAACCAAAGACAGGCAGCCCAGCGCCAGGGCCGAAACAAGACCTGGGGCTGCCTGGCCTAAACCCAGTAGTTAAAAATCAACTCATGACTTAGAAACTGATGTTATTCATAGATTCCATACATTGTATAGAAGAATATTGTGAAACTCCCTGCCCTGTTCTGTTTCTCTCTGACCACCGGTGCATGTAGTCCCTGTCACATACCTCTTGCTTGCTCAAATCAATCACGACCCTTTCATGTGAAATCTTTAGTGTTGTGAGCCCTTAAAAGGAACAGAAATTGTGCATTCAGGGAGCTCGGATTTTGAGACCGTAGCTGGCAGATGCTCCCAGCTGAATAAATCCCTTCCTTCTACAACTCAGTGTCTGAGAGGTTTTGTCTGCAGCTCGTCCTGCTACAAAATGAATGGGTGGATGTCCACAACTGGGGACAACTGAACCTCCAATAGATAGAATTTATATGTCTATAGGTAAGAATTATTTTGCATTGCCACCAGTTATCTAAAACTTAGAAAGTTGTGAAATAACTTCTATAGAATCAGATAACCTGGGAGGATATGCTCTAGGCAGTGCATAATTTTCCAATGAAGCACAAATTTTTTACAAACTAATACTTCTTTTTAGTGTAGATGGTCCCTGATTTATGATAGGTTTGACTAACTTTACAGTGGTGCAAAAAGTGATAGGCATTCAGTATGCTCTTCAACTTACAATGGGGTTAAGTCTGGATAAACCCATCAAATGTTAAAAATATTTTAAGTTGACGATGCACTTTTGACTTACGATTTTTTCAGGTTATGATGAGTTTCTTGGGTTGTAATCCCATCCTTGGTTGAGGAACATCTGTGTAGTTGATTCACGAAATAAGAGACAGGCAAATAAACTAATGAATAAATGATGGGTAAAGTGATAAAAGAATGAATGGACAAACTAATAAAAGATTCCATATGGGAAGTGTTTTCCATAAACCCTTAACTCTCCCTCATTTGTTTTCAGACAAATGGGAATAAATTTTTATCTCACTTTTCCTCTAAATTTTGTGTTATGATGACTTTATTACCTTACATGCTTTTCTGTGAGCCTTTCACCAGATTTAACTCTTTTTTTTCCATTTTCTGTTTTTTCCTAACATCTTTATTTTCTCAGCCACACTTCTTTCCTGTGTTCATTTTTAACAATCACTCTTCTTCCTTGTTGGTGATTCAATGGTGGAAAATGAAAGAAAAAGCTATATAAGATGTAGAATATATAGTAAAAATGCAAGCTTAAGGAAGAAAGAGTTCCCATATTTTTTTCCTTCCCCACATTAGTATCTCTTGTTCAATTGTCTATATTTTTTCCTCTCTAAATACTTTTAAGCTCTTTTTTCATATATTGAATGTTAGCTCAGGAGACCAAACTTAAAAATAACTTAATGTTCAAACAACAAAAAGTTGAATTGTATTTAAATTCCTTGTTTTGGATTGTTGAAAGCATGGAAAAAAAATGATGAGAGAAAAGGAAAATCTATAAATAGATATTAAAAGTTTAAACTTCAACTTTACAAAAAAACTATTAGAACTATTAAACGCATTCAGTGATGTTGCAAGATACAAAAAAACATACAAAAATTAGTAGCTTATCTATATGTTAACAGTAAACTATCTGAAAAAAATCAAGAAAAAAATTCATTTACAATAGCTACAAAGAAAATAAGATACCTAAAAATATAGTTAACCAAGGAGGTGAAAGATCTCTACACTGAAAATTGTAAAACGTTGATGAAAAAAATTGAAGACACAGATAAATGGAAAAATAGTCCATGTTCATGGATTAGAAGAATTATTATTGTTAAAATGACCAGGCTACCCTAAGTTATCTACAGATTTAATGCAATCTCAATTAAAATACCAATGACGTTCTTCACAGAAATAGAAAAAGAAATCCTAAAATTCTTACAAAAGCACAAAGACCCCCAAAGGCCAAACAATCCTGAGAAAATAGAACAAAGCTGGAGACATCATGCTACCTGACTTCGAAATATGCTGCAAAGACACAGTAACCAAAATATCGTGGTACTGGCATAAAACAGACACATAGACCAATAAAGCAGAATGCAGAGCCCAGAAATAAATAAACATACATATGGCCAACTGATTTTCAACAGAGATGCCAAGAATACACAGTGAAGGAAAGACAGTCTCTTCGGTAAAAGGTGCTGAGAAAATCAGATATTGACATGCAGAAGAATGAGTCTAGTTCTTTCCTCTTACCATATAAGAAACTCAACTAAAAATGGGTTAAAAACTTGAATGTAAAACCAAAAATCTATGAAAACACTAGAAGAAATTACAGGGGAAATGCTTCACGGCTTTGAAGTGTTGTTCATGGTCAAGAATTTTTAAAATAAGACCTCAAAAGCACAGACAATCAAAAGAAAAAATAGACAAATAGGGTTGCCTCAAAATAAAAAGCTTTTGCACAGCAAAGGAAAAAATTAACAGAATAAAGAGACAACCTACGGAATGGGAGAAAATAGTTGCAAACTTTACATTTGATAAGGGCTTACTTCTTGGAATATATAAGAAACTTTAAGAATTCAAAAACAAAAAGACAACCTGATTAAAAAATGGCCAAAAGAGCTTAATAGACATTTCTCAAAAGAAGACATAAAAATGACCAACAGATATATTAAAAAATGTTCAACATTACTAATCATCAGGAAAATGCAAATCAAAACTACAATCAGATAATACCTTACTCCAGTTAGAATGGCTATTACCATAGGAAAAAAAGAAAACAAGTGTTGATGAGGATGTGGAGAAAAGGAAACACTTGCACACTGTTGGTGGGACTGTAAATTAGTTCAGCCATTATGGAAAATGCTATGGAATTTCCTCAAAAAATTAAAAATAGAGCTATCATATGACCCAGCAACCCCAAACCACTACTGGGATTACAAAGCATCAATTAAAAAAAATTTAGACTTCGGATTAACGTTACAACTGAAACAATATATACCATAGTATGGTGATCATGTTATATTGCTTATACTATACAACATATATTTAATCTCTCTAAAAATCATATTTGTATTTTAATTTAAAAAAACCTACCACATCATCTTGTTGTAGGTTGGCATGACTTGCTTTCCCTAGAGGTGGGTAGAGGTCATTCATAGTTAACTTCTTTCATAGATTCTTCACGAGTCCTTGATTAGAACAAAGAGCATTTTTAACAGTGATAATATGGCACATTCCTAAAAGAATAAAAAATATTTTAATAAGAAATTTAATAAAAATTTTAACCCAGATACTGATCTGAAGCAAGGAGTTGTGATCAGGAGAAGAAGGTATGGAATACAGTACTATGGATTGAATTCAGTCAAAGGAAGTAGTACCCCAATGGTCATTTAGAAATCATCACGACTACCAATTTCACCACAAGCCAGAGTATACAGACCCCAGGAGCAAGGCTTCATCCTCCATCTTGGTTTTAAAAGAGCAGGACCAATGCTGTGGATGGAGCTCTCCCACCAAGGCTAAGGTGTGGGTCTGCCTCAGAAGAGCCAAGGGGATAAGGATGCCACCCTATTTGGCCTGCAGTGCACAGCATCTAACCAAAGAAGGGTATTATGCAACCTTAAGAGCTAATGAAACTTGCCTTACTAAATTTTGGGTTTGCTTGAGACCTGTCACCTCTCCCTTCTTCCATATTTCTCCCATTTGGAATGGAAATGTCTACTCTATGCCTCTCCTACCATTGAAGTTGGGGAGCACATAATTTGTCTGGTTTCATAGGTTCACAGCTGGAGAGAAATTTTGCCTCAGAATGAATTTACCTTGAGTCTCATTCATGTCTGATTTAGATGATATTTGGATGAATCTTTGGACTTTAGATGTTAGAGCTGATGCTGAAACAAGTCAAGAGTTTTAGTGATGTCGTGGTGGAATTAATAGACTTTGCATGTGAGAAGGACATGAATTTGGAGCCCAGTACCAGAATGCTGTTGACTGAATTATGTACCCTCAAATTCACATGTTGAAGACCTAACCTTCTATGTGCTTATATTTGGAGATGGGACCTTTGGAAGGTAATCAGGTTTAGATGAGGTCATGAGTAGGGGACCTACATGATAGGATTACTTTCCTTATAAGAAGAGACACAAGACAACTTGCTCATTCTCTCTCCACCATGTGAGGATACAGCAAGAAGGTGTCCATCTGCAAGCCAGAAAGAGCTCTCATCAGAACCCAAGCACACTGGCACCCTCATCCCAGACTTCCAGACTTCAGAACTGTGAAAAGTAAATTTCTGTTGTCTAAGTCACTCAGTTTGTGGTGTTTTGTTATGGCAGTCCAAGCTAACTAAGACAGATGTGATATCCTTCCCCAGGAATAAACCATAGAGAAAACATCTCGAAGATAACTGAAGATAGTGTTCGCTAACATACCCTGTATATTTAATTGCACTTAAAGAGGAAGATGGCAGAGAACTAATAAGGCAGGTTTTAAATCAGTGATATCAAGGAGGAATTAAAGGTAAGGTATTTCTGATAGGAATCATGATTGAAATAAACAATGCAGGCAATTGTTAAGAAGTACATTTTTCGTAAAACGTTACAATATTATTTCCATAAGAAGAATCTCCACTTTTCTCATTTCTTCTCTTCAGATGGTGCCATATTTTTATAGCAACACAAAGAAATGTTGTAAGTGTGAAATTACTTACTTGGCCTTTTTATGGATTCATATGGCCTTACATGGAATGAAGGAAAGAATAAAAAATGGATATGATCCTGACCATGTTGAACAACAGATTTTCAAGACTGTCAGAAAAGGACCACAGTGCGTATATCAGCTAATTTATGTCAAGATGGCATTTTTGTGTAGTTATAAAAATGAAGAATATTATTTGTACAGAGCTTTAACTTGTACTGAGGCCTTCCACAAATGATATGTCATTGAGTTCTCACAATAAGTTACATTCTTTGCAAATTGTTTTGTGAAATTCTATATACATTTCACAAATGAAGAACGTGAGGTTCAGAGAATTTTTGCAAATTAATGACCAACCATAGATCTAGTAAGTTTCAGAGTTAGTACCTAAACCTAAACTTTGCCTCTTTATTCTTTATTCCCCAGTACTTGAACAGTTAACAAAGCATTTATTCTCTAGCAGGAAGTTACTTTGGCCTTCTATATTTAGTTTTGAACTTACCATTGAATAATTTCCATAATAGGCCAGGCATGGTGGCTCACAACTGTGATCTCAGTCCTTTGGGAGGCTGAGGCAGGAGGATTGCTTGAACCTAGGAATTCAAGACCAGCCTGGGCAAGATGGCAAGACCCTGTTTCTACAAAAATAAAATAAAGTAAAATTAGTTGGGCATGGTGGTGCATGCATGTAGTCCCAGTTACTCAGGAGGATGAGGTGGGAGGATTGCTTGAGCTCAGCAGTTTGAGGTTATGGTGAGCTATGATCATGCCACTGCAATCCAGGCTGGGTGACAGAAATAGAGACCCTGTCTTTTTAAATAATAATAATAATACCCATGATAAAAATACTTGTATTTTATTACTTTTCTTTTAATATTTATAACTCAGTGTGTGTCAGACTTTTTGCTAAGTCTTTCATATATATAAATAATAGATAGATAGATAGATAGATAGATAGATAGATAGATAGATAGATGCTCTATGAGGTATTGATTATCTGGACATGAATTCTCTGCTACATTCCTAAAGAAATACTCACTTTTCCCTATCTTATTCTGTCTGACATCAAGCTACTACTAGTCACACCATTTAGGACACTCAATTTAGATTATTTGATCTATTGTTCATCTATAACAAGATTCCAACCAGTGCCAACTCCCTGTCAATGCAAAATTCACTGAAATTTTACTTGCCCCACCTATTCACTTTTCCCTTTAGCCTACATGTAACCTGAAAATCACCTATCAATAATGCTTTTGAGAAAATAATTATCTAATTGGAAATCTATACCCTTTGAACAATATTTCCTCAATCCTTCACTCTCCTCCATCCCCAGTCTCTGGTAATCACTGTTCTATTCTCTACTTCCATGAGTTTGACTTTATTAGAGTCCACATATAAGTGAGATCATGACGTATTTGTCTTTCTGCGCCTGGCTTGTTTCACTTAGCATAATGTCCCCTAGGTTCATTCATGTTGTCAGAGATGACAGGATTTTCTTCTTTTGTAAAGTGGAATAGTATTCCATTGTATACATATATGTGTATATGACATTTTTAAATCCAGTCATCTGTTGATAATCATTGCACATTATATACAAATTCAACATACCACATTACACCTCATAAATGCATGCAATTATGATTTATCAATTAAAAATAATATTAATAAAAAGAGATAGTTTTTTATATTAATAGAAACCTATGTCCCACATATTTATTAGTACTGAATATGTATATAATCTGACTACTACATCTCCATCTCATTGAATATCAGGGTTCAGGTTTATATGAAAGCATTTTTTCTCATCTCCAAAACTGCATTTGAATTCCTTTGGAAGCTATGAATTGGATTTAGAAAACAATGACAGACTTCCAAAACAGACAGGGATATTTTTCAGTTATAATTTTTCAGGTAATTCTGACTTTCTATGTTAATTTTCTAACTCAGTGTTTTCCACTAATTTATAAAGGAGAACTGTAACCTTAATATATGCATTTTCCTCATAGCCAAAATTGTTGAGCTGTTGAAATCTAAACAACATTTAAAATATCTATCAGGGAGGGAGATGAGCCTTTAAGTTTTGAAATCTAATCTAAGATGATACTTCATAAACTTTTACTTACTGAGTTTATAAAAATGGGCTGTTTTAAAAAATATGTAGACTTTCTTGTCAAAGAGCCTGTCTTTGTTGTCTCTGATATCTAATTATTCCCCAAAGTAATCTCTTTGTATCCTTTCCTCCAAAACAAGTATGTGACAATCTGCTCCTCAGATAAAAGAACAAGGAAAGAATGGTATATGTTCTCATTCAAAATAAATATAAAAGATAAAAGAAATGAAGTGTAATAACAAATCCTAAGTGAAAAAAAATAAGATTTTAAAAAATTATTCCAACTGGGGAAAAGAACTATTAAATGTATGTATTTTATTTATATTGTCTTATCCGGAGTGGAAGGTGTGCTGACGCCTTCCACAAGTTGTTGTTCCACAAGTCAACACCAACCACAAGTTGTTTTTAACACAATACAATCTCTGTTTTTGTTTTTTTTTTTTTGTTTTTTTTTCAAATGAGGGGTAACAGAACTAATACCAGGCAGGTTAGGAAAAGATAACTTTGACGAATATTTAACCAAAATGACTTTTTTATGGAAAGAGGAAATTTCACAAGTTTGGATGTAAATAATGTCTTCCAAATTGATCTCAATAATAAAAGCTATTTTTATAATTTCTATGCAAGAGAACACAAATAGCTACCATAGCTATACAGATACCCCTAAAGAGAAATAGAGAATCCCCTTTTAACTGTTATGCCCTTCATTTCTTACTTTACCTGAGAGAGAAAACAAAACTTATATACTGTTCTACTTATTTTAGAAAACAGAAACTGATTTTCTTGTTGCATTTTATTTTACTTATGAGTATAAGTTGCATTTTATTTTACTTATGAGTGTCAGCTAATTATTCATGAATTAAACTGAAGGATGATCAGCTTGGAAGGTTTTATAAGATACAATATTGTGATTCACTTGTAACTACAGACTTAAGTAATCAGTAGAGCTTATAATATTAATAATTAAACTTGTATACTTAGTCCAGGAGAAGATATTTAGATTAAATAATGCTCCACCCCTGCCAAACAAGATGAGAGTACTCTAAATATATTTTCTCTGCTGTTGAGTTAACATTCCAAAAATAATTGTTTAAATTATGTATTCCTCTTTAGTGAGATAATGCTTGCATAGTCCATATAAGATGTTCCCTTAATTTTGATAATGCAATTTCCATTCAGTTCACTTTTAAGAAAAACATCTATTTTTGGTTAAAACATTATTAATTAATTTATTTATTTATTTATTTATATATATATTTTTTGAGATGGAGTCTCGCTCTGTCACCCAGGCTGGAGTGCAGTGGCGCAATCTCAGCTCACTGCAAGCTCCACCTCCTGGGTTCACGCCATTCTCCTGCCTCAGCCTCCCGAGTAGCTGGGACTACAGGCGCCTGCCACCACAGCCGGCTAATTTTTCTGTATTTTTTTAGTAGAGACGGGGTTTCACCGTGTTAGCCAGGATGGTCTCCATCTCCTGACCTCGTGATCCGCCGGCCTCAGCCTACCAAAGTGCTGGGATTGCAGGCGTGAGCCACCACGCCCCGCCAAAACATTGTTTTTAATAAATATGAAAATTTATATTTATGTGTTAAATTATTCCAAATTGTCTTCAATTCTTCATAATGATAAGAGCTCTGTAAACAGAAAAATATAGTCCTCCATCTATGACTTTCTTACTGCTGGCAGAAAAGAATTGAAGGGATGCATTGCTTCAGGAGCCTATGGGGTGACTGACAGATGCATTCCATTATACAAGTTTCACAATTATTAGGTCTAAGCTTCAACTCAGGGAGTCAAAGAGCATTTTGTGAGTGACAGAAAAAAGGAGTTTACATGGATGCATCTGCCTGTTCACATACTTTTTGGTGTTATATGTCGATGGCAAAGAAAAGCATCAGACCTTTCTATACAACATCCCTGAAGTGTTTCTGTGCAAGGTGAGAGGAAGGGGAAAGTTTAGATGATAGAGAGCATAAGGTAGAGATAGGGGGCTGGGAGAGAGTTATGTATCCTCTTTTCCTCCCTCATAAAAACATAGAATGCGTCCCTAAGTGGCTTTATATCTGCCCAATCTCCCTTCTTTCATAGACGCTGTAAATAATGGTAGCGAACCACCTTCTATTTCTTATAATATGACTTTGCTCTAACAGGACATACATAAATATCTGACTTCCTGCTAACAGTCATCCTAGGTTCCCTTTCATTAGAGTTTATTCTCTTACGTGTGAATGTTTTTTTCACTGAATTTATAAATGGAAAGTAATATTCTCTTGTATCTTTCTTCTTTCCAGAAATATTTCATTTATTCAAGCACAAAATAGTACCTTAGGGGACTTTCTCTTTTGAATGAAATGGTAAACAGGGAACAATAAAAAGACTTCATGTTAATTGTTCAATTTTGCGTGCATTTGGTGTTTGAAATAAATTAGCAGCGACTTTATTTTGGATATAGAACTATATAGTACTGTAAATAAAACATTTAACTGATTCCATTTTCCCTGTCAGCATAAAGAAGTTTGAAATATATTGATAACATTGCATGGCTCCCTCTGGTGGTTAACACCTGAAAACTCTCATTAATTTGGTAGAAGACAAGCAGTCAAGAAAGTAAATAAGGAAAAATTATCTGTGCAACAAATTTGAAGATAGATATAACTGAGATCGTTTCTCCATTAAAATATCTTAGCAATTGAGCTATATTAAGGAAGTTGTTATTGAAAATCTCTATCTTTCCTGGAAACCACTAAGGGCCTCTTAGCTTGCAGTGGGCATTTTGCTACCAGTTGGAGGTGCGGTGAGTGAACTCCAGTAGGCCTATGTGAGCAGCAATCAAATTAACTCCACAGCTATGTAGTCCAAGCTCTGTGGTGTCCTAATTACATTTAAAGAGGGGATAAAAGAACTGGAAAGATGACAAATGATGAAAGCGGAAATGAAACAAGGAAAACTCCAAAAAGAATTTAGGAAGAGATATACAGGGCTTCCATGTGATGATTCTTTTTTTGCTTTTCATTTTGCCTTTCAAATTAAACATTGCAACACAGATCGTAAAGTTCACTTTGTGTTTATTAAAATGTATGGCCCTGCTAGTGTGTATATTTCTCTGCCTTTTAGGACATACTTAGGATCCATTCTGTACACATTATCTTCCATACTAAGCATTAGTTCACTTAATCTGTCCATTAGTTAAGTGTTATTAATCCCATTTTTCAGATGATGAAACCAAGTCTCATGTAGACTGCATAACTTTCCCAAGTCACACAACTAGTAAATTAAGATTGGAGCCTAGGCTGGGCACGGTGGCTCACGCCTGTAATCCCAACACTTTGGGAGGCCGAGGAGGGCGGATCACGAGGTCAGGAGTTTGAGACCAGCCTGGCCAACATAGTGAAACCCCATCTCTACTAAAACTACAAAAAATAGCCAGGTGTAGTGGCAGGAGCCTGGAATTTCAGCTACTTGGGAGGCTGAGGCAGGAGAATCAGAATCGCTTGAACCCGGGAGGCTGAGGTTGCAGTAAGCAGAGATAGCGCCATTGCACTCATGCCTTGGCGACAGTGAGAGACTCTGTCTCAGAAAAAAAAAAAAAAAGGTTGGAGCCTAAATAGGTTTAATACCAGAGCCCATCTTATTTCCAGCATACAACCCTTTCTCTTTCAAGTTACAGGATTTATACATGAATATTTTTTAACGATTGTGACATAGTTGGTGGGCATTTTTATTACCACCCTCCTAATCTATTTTAAACTTCATAATCTAGTGAAAAAACTGCTAACCTTTTGTTGATATTTTATTACCCTTTCCATTTTGTTAGTTTGTAACAGTTTCATCTTGAAACAAAATGTAGAATAAGGGGGCCTATGGTACTTCAAATGAGTAATTTTTTTAAAATAAGATTGTCCTTATAGGAAATTGGGCATACATTTTGTGTCAGATCCAAGTTAAGAGCTTGATAGGTACTCTATGAAAACTTTAAAATCCCAGGCTTTGCCCTAGCACCCTGGTTTCTTGAGTTAGAATCTCTACTTTCCTATTTCACAGCTATGTGACTCTCACAAGTTACTTACAACTTCTGAGTTTGAGTTCTCCTATCTGTAAAGCCAGCATAAAGATACTACCTACATTCTAGCATTGTTTTGTGAATTAAATTACTTGAGATAAAGTGCTTAAAACAGCCTGAAACATGGGAAATCCACACTAAGTATTCAATTGAGAAATTGAGCTATAGCAATAAAATAAATCAAATAAATCACCAGGGCACAGAGCCAAAGAAGTGAAAAATCCAAGACTTAAGCAAAAGCAGTCTGTATCTGGCATTTGAAGCTGAATTATTGCTCAGCATTACTGTTTAGTAAGCCAATTACTACTTTGGAGTCTCTCTCCCTTTGTTAAAAGTGTATCTGGATAAGCATAAACAATTGTTATTATGTTCTTTTCTTTCAGTTAAGAAGTTCACTCATTTTCAGAATGGTTGGAGTAAAATCGAAGTTAAAGCTACAGACATTTCAAGGTCCCTGAAGATGTTTCCTACTTTTCAGTGGGAGTTCTTTGAACAATTTTCCTCCCTATTCACACAAGTAGTACATGGTTGAAAGCAAATAAATGATGGCTTAGATAGTCTTTAAGACACATTCTGAATAATTCTTCATTAAAAAAAGTAGATTCTAGAAATGCTTCAGAGTAGCAACAAGTCTTCAACAAATGTCCATGCTCATGTTTAACACTTCTAGCCATACTTAGTAGTAGCCTAATCAACCCATGGCTGCTAGTATTTGAGAAAGGCAATGAGGGAGTAAAACCCTGATAAGTATTTAAGACTATTTCTTCTGTCTAGTAAATATAAACTGTACATATGTTTGTGTATAATTTTTTAAATCCCTCTTCTTCAGGCATCTGTTAGTCTCCAGGTCATTATTATTAAGTTAATCTTCATTACCCTCTTTCAAATATCTTATCAGTAGGGGACTATTGAATGTTTGGAAAGTGGAGACATGTAGTCGCCTGAACCCATGCTTTAGGGTTAATAGGCTTTAGGCAATACTGCCAAATGTATCGTAGGCCCACTTTTGCAGCTCCAAAATTAGGCTTCAATATGGTTTCAGGGATGTGAAGCTTTAGAAAAAAGCCTTTCTTGCATCTGTGAAAAATGTTTTTTCCAGTGCAGAGGAAATAATATACACCTAACTCAGTATGTCCACTATTTTCCTTGAAGAAGGGATTTGAAAAGATGGTGAGAAAAAACTCAATCTCTTTTCCCTTGTCTTTCCCATATTTAACGTGAAGGACAATGAATATGGTTTAAAAAAATGTGTGCGGCCCAATATAGGACAATCTTCTCGTGGAGATACCTTATTATGAGGTATCTGTTTAAATTTAGATAATCTGCATATGTTTAAGAGGGATTCCTATTTTATAATCCAAGGAATAATTCAAGAAAGAAACTGATAAGACTGCCCCAGAACCTTTGTAATAGTGTTGTAGTGGTTATAATTAGTTTTAATTAAATGTTTTCTGATATAAACTGGATTCATTAAGCCAACCAAAGATAGTTAACTGAGAGTTCATCAATTTACATAACTAACTCAGCTAAATATGATATGAAGAAGAGGGGTCTTTATATTTTTATAATGAAGAAGACATGATTTTTGGAAATTTTTACAAATGTTTAAAGAAAAGGTCAATCCATGAAATTAGGCATTAGTTCTATGCACACAAATACTCTTGCTATTCTAAGATTCTCTTTTTGTAGTACTATATTAATAATTACAGTGATAGGACTCCTGTGTTAGGACCATGTTTTGCAAAAAAATATTTAAAAATGAAACTAAAATTTAAATTCTGAAATTATAAATGTCTGTGTTAAAAGATCCTTTTATAGCTTTTTCCCATTTATATTTTATTTTTTATTTGCGACTCAGAAACAAGGACCACACTTTCGTACAAACATTTTCAAGTTAATGAGATTTAGTGTCTGGAATAGGTACCTAGAAACTTAGTTCTTGACCATTTGTCATGGCCTATCTATTCACATACATGTCAACTTTTCAGGGGCAGATTAAACTCAATTCAAAATGAGTTTAGTTCTAATTTGGTTTAACCAAATCTAACTGAAGGGAAGAAATTCCTAAATAGCAAAAGTTCTTGTACTAGGTTAAATAATTTGCTTCTGCTGCCTATTCAGTATTATTTATTCTGAATTCATCTGTTTGATTTATTTATATACTATAATGACATAATTTAATATTCCACCTTCAGCTTTCTAATAAACCTGTAAAGGGTTATAACAAATTGCATAGAGAAAATTTGTCATAACTTAGAAACCAGAAACAAGAACTGAGAAAACTGGTCATCTGCAAGACTATGCTGCCTACAGGATAAGGACCCTAAGTATTGGGCCACATGGCATACTCCAGTGTGCGGGCTTCAACTCAGATACCTACATTTGAATCCTTGTCCCTAAACTTATTATATCACCCTGTTGAGTTACTTTATCTATTTGAGGCTCAGCTTTTCTATTATTAAAATAGGAATAATAATGCCTACTCTAATTTGGATGATGATGAAATGGGATGAAACCTCTAAAATGCAGAGCACAGTCACTGTAATCAGAATGATCTCTTAAATGGCAGTTGTGACTACTATAATTTATACATCTTTGGATCTTCTCGATGCCATCTTATTCTTGATCTCACTAAATATTTATCTGATGCTTGTTGTATGTCCTGTATTTACTTTATGCAGGGAATACAAAGAGAATGTGGTATGTGTCTGGTTCTTGAGGACTACCTAGTGAGCAAGTGTTATGTGTTGTACATTGTATGTTTTATAATTTGATTTGAATTTTTCAAAATCATATTTGTAATTTTGATTTTATTAAATGGTATTTTTCTAATATTTTGAATTAGCCATTTTCACAATTAGGAAAAAGTGAACAGAATTAATAATATTTGTCATTCCTTTAATTACACTTATACATTCAAAACAGAATCTCCATTGCACAGTCCTTGGTTGGACAAAGTCTTATAACAGCTAAGACCTTCTTATCTTTGGACATGTGCTTGTTTCATGCTTAACTAAGTTTAAGTAGCTTTTTCTGGAAACCTTGTGGAGATCTGTTTTCAAATTTTTGCCTTTGATATATATATCTGTTTTTATTGTAATACCTAATTATTTTTTAACCTCCAACTGACAAATTTCACCTAAATTTAGATTGGATATGAAGAAGAAACCTACAGTATTTTTATTTTCTTTTTGCTTGAGATTTCATGTCTCATCTCCTTAACTTATACTCTTTTGAGTTCATCAAAGAAATGTATCAGGTAAATTAAATCCACATAGTCACAGAAAAATTATTTGAGGAAATGAACACTCATCAGCAGAAACTTATGACATTTGAATTGTTCTAAAAAAATTCTAAAGATTGATATCTCCCCACCATGCAAACCCACACTTAACCTTTCTTATGCATCAGTCAGCTCTTTCAAAATAAATCGCATAACCTAAAATGCTCAGGAGTAGGAGAGATTTTTAAGTAAATACAGCACTTAAAATTATTGGGTTACTGTGGAACCATAAAAAAATGCAATTGTTGTAATTATGTGAAAAAAAAACCCTTGCTTGACGTTTATATTCAATTAATTTCTAGAAGAAAGCAACATGTATTTTCTTCATATAACATAATTATTATCCTCAAGTCACATACATAGCATACTACTTATTATAATAAAGAAGTGGAATTTTATTAGAAGGAAGGGCAGTTTTATAAAAAAGAGAACTGGAAAAGGCAACTTTATGTTTTTCAACTATTTTTGTAGCTGAAACTTTCCATTCTTCCAAGGTAGCTCATGTTATACAACCAATGTCTAGAATTTTCTCTTGCTTATGTTGTAGTCCCATTCTTGGAAAGCTAAGGGGGCCAGGTTTAAGCCTGTATCGTGAGTATGAATATTAAACCACAAGCTCAGAATGTGCAAAAATACCACTTTCCTTTACTTTTTTAGTCAATACATATCACACTGTAAGTCCATGACCTTCCACACAGAAGAGGAATTAGTATCAGTCCTAACCCCAACATATCCTCTTAACACACCTACCCAACTTCCTTCCATTTACAAAACCCATTTTTCCCAAAATACCAAGATAATAAACTGACACTGGAGTGATTATTGTGTTCCATGGAAGGAAGAAAAATATCAGGAGCATGAAGACAAACTAATATTCTCTAACATCAATCATAGTAGAATAGAATAGAAAGCTTCAACACAAATGAAAGAGAACAAATTTTTTTCCTAAAGCACTCTGTGTAGTACTCCTCTCCTTTCTCTTCCATGTAGCTAGTGCAGTGTGACATTTGAACCCCAAGCAAGACTTGGAAATGGAAATATGATAAGGAATTTTGCATATGATATTGCAAGAAATAAATCTCTTAAGACATATTTAATGCTTACTTTTTTAAAATGGTGCAGTACAAAATATTTATTTGTTCATCCCTGAGAGATCTGGACAAAATACATAGATATATTATATTTTAATTTATTATTATATAAATATATAAGTATATATAATATATAAATATGTAATATATAATATATTATATTATATATAATACAATGTATAATATATAATATATAATATATAATAATTATATATTATTATATATATTATATAATATATTATATAATATATATTTTATATATATAATATATATAATATATCATGTATAATGTATGTATATATAATACAATATATAATATATAATATATGTATATAATACAATATATAATATATAATATATGTATATATAATACAATATATAATATATAATATATGTATATATAACACAATATATAATATATAATATATGTATATATAACACAATATATAATATATAATATATGTATATATAACACATTATATAATATATAATATATGTATATATAACACATTATATAATATATAATATATGTATATATAACACAATATATAATATATAATATATGTATATATAACACAATATATAATATATAATATATGTATATATAACACAATATATAATATATAATATATGTATATATAACACAATATATAATATATAATATATGTATATATAACACAATATATAATATATAATATATATATAATACAATATATAATATATAATATATGTATATGTAGTACAATATATAATATATAATATATGTATATGTAATACAATATATAATATATAATATATGTATATGTAATACAATATATAATATATAATATATGTATATGTAATACAATATATAATATATGTATACATAATACAATATATAATATATGTATATATAATACAATATATAATATGTAATATATTATATATAATACAATATATAATATATATGTATATATAATACAATATATAATATATAATATATTATATATAATACAATATATAATATATATGTATATATAATACAATATATAATATATAATATATGTATATATAATACAATATATATAATACATATTATATATAATACAATATATAATATATATGTATATATAATACAATATAATATATATAATATATGTATATATAATACAATATAGAATATATTGTATTATATATAATATATGTGTTCATTAATTTACTTATTTATATATATTATATATATGTTATGTTCATTAATTTGCTTATTAATATTATCCTATGTGCATGGTAATTTAAGTACCAAGGAACCTAAAGCTGAAAATATCTACTGGATAAGCTCGTTATAGTCAGGCAGTCTTGAAAATGGCTGTGAGTGATCCCTGCCTGTTGATATTCATGCCCTTATGTAGTACCTTGCCCTTACTGTGGTCTCTGGGTTTAAGAACCTGTTTCAAATAACAGAAAACAATAAAAGTTATATAGAATGTCACCCCATTGATTGGGTTACCAGAAAACTGTGCCTTCTCTCATAGGTACATTTAAATCTCTCTCCCTCTCTCTTGGGTCACCTGCCCTGGGAAACTCCAGGTACTAAAGAAGCCCACTAGGTCAGGAATTAAGACCTGGCAACAAACATATGGTGAACCTGGAAATGAGTCTTTCCTGAAGTTGAGCCTTCAGAAGAAACGACAGCCCCAGCCCATAGCTTGACTGCAATCATATGACAGAACTGTAACAGGCACTTACCTAGGCCATGTCCAGATTCCTGACACACAGAAACAACAAAATGATAAATGTGTGCTAAGCTGCTAGGTTTGGGTGTCATTTATTACACAGCAATAATATCCAGTACACCGTGGTTTTATATATCTTCTTCAACAATATTACCTTAGTTCTAGGCTCTCAAAATATTTTGTTAAATGAAAGAAATGAGGAGAAAACCAGTGGAGGTTAATAAGATAAAAATACAGAAAACAAACCTAAAATACACAAAAATATTAATGTATGATGTCTCTAAATTGACACTTTTTTCAAGTAATGAATTCTTCACTTTTTAAGCCATATTTTGTCAGGTATATTCCAAAAATCTTTTTACATATACAAATTAGGGAGAAATGTTAAAATTCTATCTTGATATGGAATAATTTGTTGTAACTTTAAAACCTTTATGCCTCAAATGGAAAATTCGACATTCTCTTTATTCAATATTTGCTTGAAAGCAAATGGTTTGCTCTGTTACAGAGAATTGGATGATGCTGTCACACTTTTGTGCAAACAACTTGTTTTTCTGGCACCATTGTGCCCAGTGAACATTCCTAGAGTAGCTATGATTTTCACGGAGGTTAACCAAATGGTTTATTCTACTTATTTATACAAATTTTCTTCCAGGAAAAAAAAATGTTGCAGCTACTATGTTAAATGCCATTTCATTTATGTATATAAAACCTTCTGCGTGAAAAGTTCTAAGTTTTTCTTAGACCAAGGGTAAAATAAAGATGATCACATAAAAATAGACCTAGGAGCAAGCTATAAATGATACCAGAAATTGAATGTTAAAATCCTTCATTTTTCTTTTCAAACTGTTTACTGAGTTTACATAAAAAGTTTCCATTAATAATCATAATATTGGTGTTAGGCACCCAATCAATATCTGTGATTATTATATATTTGCCTATACTGAGAAATATGTAATTTAGATAATGTTTCATTCTTTATTGTGACATCAATTCTTCAAAATGGCAGTGACAGGAAATGACAATTATAAATCTTTGTTCAGGTTATTATTTTTGTATTACTGTTGCTCTCTAAAGTCATAGTAACTGCTGAAGATGACAGTAAAACCAAGTATTAGAGTTGTGGCAGAAGTGCTCTGGAGACATCATCCTGTATATGATATATCCTAGCCATTATATACATGCCACCTTTCACTTAGAAATGCAACCCCAGAAAATGATGTCATTGGCTAATTCTTCCAGGCCACTGGCCAGTCATAGATATTTCTTTTTTCCTATTTTACCTGTAGCAAATGATCTAGATCCAGGGTCAGAAAGCTTTAGCGTTATGTAACTGTTTAACAGTTAAGTAATGAATAACCAAATGAAATTAAATAAGTATTGAGAGAAAAAGTTAACAATTCCCTTAGCCGAGTATTTTACTCAATTACTTTTGTCTCATGATAAAACAAAACAGATTCAACAATTTCCATGGACATTTGAATATTTCCAAATTTTGCATGGTGCTTTGATTAAAATGATAGGATAGATAGTAATGAAGAGACATTAAAGTAAAATTAATTGTTTTCCTGTCACATTTTTGGTGGTTGCAAAAAAAAAAAAAAAAAAATGAATTAGGCAAGCCCATTCCTAAGTAAGAAATAGGTGAAACAGCTTACACATGTAACCCAAAGCAGTTGTTTAATCTCAAATGAGATTCAATTCACATATTGTTTCTTAATCTATTTAATAGTTTCATTTTTTGAAGTTTAAGCTCCTTTAGTAATAAAAGTTAGTTATATTAGATTAAACCTGGCATTTCTAGACCCTTTCTACTAAGAAAAGGAATAAAAAGCTTCTTTTTCCTGAACGTATGGAATCATCACATTAGCTTAGTAATATCCATTTTACGTATAGTATTTCAGAAGAAAATAACCAAAATATAACATGCTTTCATTTTTCTAGCATTTATTTAATGGAAGTTTAATTTTAGTGGTACATAATATAAAGAAATGTTCTGATATCAGCAGTTCTGATTCATAATGAAAGCATTATAAATTATAAGGAATCACATTTTTCTGTCTAGAGTTTAATATATTATTTAAAATATCCATCAAATGTTCTTTCAGTCCTTGATGTAAGTTAAGATTTATTAATTTTATCAGTAACCCACCAATGAATTATATATTAATAAAAGATCAATTTAAAAGATCCATAAAAATCTATTAAAAATGGCTCCCAAATAGACATCAGTCAAATGAGTATGAACCTACCTAAGGCTCAGAGATGCCCTCAGTTACATGACTTATTTCTCCAAATTATTTAAAACCCTCTCAAGGCCCACATGATGAAACAAGTCCAATGTCATCTCCATTTGTCTGCCCTATAAATATACTTTCTAAGAATCCTACGCAGGTGAGGTTTCACAAAGCAAAGGGGGGATTGTCTGATAAATGCTACAAAGGTAAGCAATAGTGCCATTGTAGATATAACCTTTTGTTGCCATTCAGATTCATTGTTTTGAATGGTCTTTTATTGTCCTTTGGACAATGCTAGCTCACTAAACACAGCTGCCTTCCTTATTGAGATTAGCAACCCAGCTCACTAATCACCTTTGAAATGAAGGTAATATTAATTGTAATGATATAGACAATCTTATTGAGTGTTTTTATGTACCAGGCATGATTATAAGTATACTACCTATTTTATTTCACCTTGCCCAATGCCAGGTGATTTAGAACCAGTAAGTCCTTCTCTTGAACTGCATTAATAATATATTCAGACAGACTCCCTCTGTTAGTTTGCTAGTGCTGCCATAACAAAACACCACAGATTGAGTGGCTTAAACAATAGAAATTAATTTTCTCATAATCCTGGAGGCTAGAAGTCCAAGATCAAGATATTGGCAGGTTTAATTTGTTCTGAGATCTCTCTTGTTGTCCTGGAAATTTCCATTTTCTTGCTGTAACCTCACATAGTGGCCCCTCGATCTGTGCATGCTTAGACCTGGTGTCTCTCTGTCTGTGTGCTAATATCTTCTTATAAGGACACAGTCATATCGGATTAGAGCTGACCCTAACACCTCCATTTTAACTTAATTACTTATTTAAAGGCCTTTTCTCCAAATAAAAGTAATATTCTGAGGTACTGGAGTTAGGGTCTCCACATGTAAATTTTTGAGGGAATGCAATTCAACCCATAACACTCCCAAAGTCTGCATACACGTACATCAGAATTTATCTTACTCTCCTTTAGAAACGGAAGACAGTAAATATCTAGTATTCCATACTGCAGTTTAAAGCTTTCCTTTTTGACCCTGTAAACAAATAGGATAAGTTTTATTAAACATTTTTGCTTCAACAATGAAAACTTTCTTTCTTAAAGAAACATAGTTAAACATACTTCACAAATATAGTTTATCCTAGAAGCAGGTGGATGTCAGAAATATCTGTATGCCCCAGTGGGCTTTTCTTCCTGACAAGGATGACATGACCAAGACATATATCACTAGCAGTTCACTTTTCTACACTTGCGTATATAATTTTTATATAATTAACTAAACATTACAAATGTATGAAGATGGTGAGAATTATGAAATTAATGGCATTGAAGCAATAAAAAACTGAGTTGCAATTTAGCTGCTTGCTTTATGTATTAAACCAAAACAAATTACTGAGAAAATTTAAAAGGTTAAATATTTTAAAATCAGGAACATAACTTTAGAGTAAACTTAATAATATTTATCAAATCTCATTTGAAAAATTTTCTAATCTGAAAGAGAAAGTGAGAAAAAGATTCATGCATTCTGTTGTCGATTTCACACTGTCTTGAATACTGTTGCTTTACAGTAAATATATCTATATTTTTTAATAGGTTATTTTTTAGAGCAGTTCAGTTTCACAGCAAAATTGAGCAGAAGTTACAGAAATTTCCAGTATATCCAACACATGAATAGCCTTCACAATTATCAGCATCTTCCACCAGAATGATACATCTGTTACAATTGACTAATCAACATTGACATGTCATTATGCAAAGTCCATAGTTTACATTAGGGTTCAATCATGGTGTTGTACATTCTATGGGTTTGGAAAAATGTGCAATGACATGTACCTACCATAACAGTATCATGCAGAATGGTTTCATTGCCCCCCAAATCCTCTATGCGCCATCTATTTATCCTTCCCCTAACGCTTAACCACTGATCTTTTAACTGTCTCCATAATTTTACATTTTCCAGTATGTCATAGAGTTGTAGCCACAGAGTACGCGTTCTTTTCAGACTAGCTGCTTTTACATAGTAACGTGCATTTAAGTTCCATTTTTTTTTCCTCTCTCAATGCTTTAAAAGATGTCACTCCATACACTTTTTTATAGTTTTTGAAGAGAAGTTGGATGCTATGTTTATTTTTGCTCCTCTTTAGGTAAGGTGCTTTTCCTCTGGTTTTCAGTAATTTTTTCTTTATTTTTGATTTTCTGTAATTTGAAATGACATTCCTAGTTGTAGTTTTTCTGGCATTTATCCTAGTTGAGTTTCTCTGAGCTTTTTTGATCTGTGGTTTGGTGTCTTATACAGGGGAAATTTTCTGTCATTATTGTTCCAATTTTTTTATGTTCCTTTCTCTCTTCTCCTAGTATTTTTATTATGTGTATATTACACCTTCTGTAGTTGTTCCATTTAACATGGAGAAAGCATGAAACGAGAAATCACATGAGGGATACATCTTTGTTATGTAGATTTGAGGTCATCCACCAGAATGGACACTGTGGTATGCACCCAAATTCTATTTTCAGAGTAAAACATTAATACCTCCAGCTTCTGAGGCTATTGACAACTAAAAGATCATAGAAAAATTACCTTAGTCACACATTGCCTTTGGCTAAAGAGAACTATACCATACACAGGGTTATAGCTTCCTCTCTGGAGCATATAAAATAACATGACTGGTTAATGAATTTGCCTAGGCTGTGGGGTTTGGAGGCATTTTTGGTGAGGTGGAGAAAGGACAGAAGTGGTGCCAAAGGCCTGGCTCCACTTTCCACATTGAGAGACAATCCTAAACAATTATCTTTGCTCCAGAGTGCCATATAGAATGCAGATGTCTTTGTGAAATCTATGCTACAGCCCAACTTCTCACTCTGTCCAAACTTACTTTTTACTCTTCTCCTGTTGGTTTTGACCTCAAGACCCTCCCACAATAAATGCCTAAAAGTATATCTCAGGCTCAAAGTATGATTTCACCTGAATCTAGCATGCACCAAATAATGATGAAAATTGAGACTATAAACATAAGAATTTTCTGAGAGAAAAAAAAGTAGGAAATCAAGCAAAGAGTCTGGAGTAAGGCAGAAAAAGTAATAATTGGAAAAAAGTAAGAGAATAACCTGGTAGGTGCCATGTCTAGAAATTTCAAAAGAAGAATATTTTAAAATATTTGGCCAACAAACAGAAATAAACCAGACATCAGTACCCATAAAGTTGTGGATAGGGTAGAAATTGGATTTCAGTAACTCATAATGAAAGGAGATTCAATGATATCAGGAAAATAAAGCAGGTAGTTTCAAATTTGGTGCTTATTAGGGAAAGGAAGTTCCAGGAGTATTTTTAAATGGTAGGGGAATAGCCTATCAAGAGAGGTGGTGGATCTGCAAGTAAAAATAAGGTAATGGTTAAAGGGATATCCCAGAGGTGGTTATTAGAAATGAGTTTCAGAGTACAGGTAAAACACTGGATTTAAACAACAAGGAAGACTTCTGGGGTTTTGCTCAGGGAAGTAGAGAGCTTGAAAATTCATTAGTTTCATCCTTGCTTCAAAAAAAATCTGAGTAAAATGCAAGTTCATGAAATTTTTAGAAACTTTCAGAGAGCTGCAATTGTAGGACAAACAAGTAACCCAAAATCATAGGAGAGCAGGCACTTACAGGGCGAGATTACATGCAAATGATTGGAAGAGATGTCTCCGTACACTGATTTTTGAAAGATAACATATTGAGAAAGGATGAGAATCAGCTGATAGGAGAGGGTAAAGCCCCTGTGAACCAAATATGAGGAGTAGGTCACACCTTTTTCCCCCATAAACCTTTTCAGTTTATCACAAGGAAACCTAAGAAGAGTCCTGGGAAAAATTGCCTCCAGATATAGGCCAGGTGAGTAAACAGCAGCCATCACAAGATGGGCATGAAACTGACCAGACCTTTCTCCCTTTTCTCATGGGATAAACTTGTTAATCTGCGATGAAAAAGCAACTAAAAAAAAAATCTCACCTTTAGAATATTGCTGAGAATTCATTGCATTCAGTGCATAAGAACAGAGGGAGAAAATAAAATAAAACTCCCCTACTGGGAGAGGGATTGGAGCATGTGATGGGCCCCAAACTAAAGGTGGAGGAGGAGCAGGGGTACTTGTGAATTTCGTATACCTGAGACCCAGAAAATGCAGTCCCCCTCTAAAATTTGAGGCTTAATCATAGCACTAGAGCATAATTCCATACTAGGATCCTACCAAGTTGGATATAAACAATATCTATCCTGTTTATTACTGTTTTATAATTGTTGCCCTTGTTTTTTGTTATTTTTGTCTTTCGCTCTTTGTCTTTTATGGTTTTAGTTGAGTATGTTGTATGATTTTATTGTCTCTTCCTTTTTGCATATAAGTTGTATTTTTTTCTTTCTTTTACGTTTTTTTGTAGTTACTCCAGAGTTTGCAATATAGATTTACAACTAAATCAAGTTAACTTTCAAAAAACATTATACTATTTAACAGAAAGTATGAATACCTTATAGTAACAAATTTTTATCTGTTTATTTTGTTTTTAATGGTTTAAGTATCGTAACCCTAGGTGTGTATGTGTGTGTGTGTATGTGTACGTGTATGCATGTATGTACACATGTAAATGCATCCAGAAGAAAAAGGCACATCACAGGCAGAGGAAAAACCAAAGATAAGCAATAGAGCAGACTTCTTGTCTTATATCAAAAGGCAATGGGGTAGAATGTTTAAAATATTAAAAGAAAAACATCTGTCAAACCAAAATTCTGTATTTAACAAAAACAGTTTTCAAAAATACAGGAAAAATAAAGAATTTCTGAAACAACAATGAAGAATTTATCACTGGCAGACATATACTACAAGATGCTTAAAAGAAATTCTGGAAAAATGCATGTACCAGAGAGAAGCTAATCAACACAAGGAAATAAAGATACGTGTAAATGTAATAAAAACATTTAAAATAATATTTATTGTCTTATTTTTAATTATTCTTAAAAACTAAAGGAAAAATGATAGCAATATATTTTGTGTTTATAGCATAGGTAAAAATAAAGTGTATGGGAACAATAGTGTGAAGAATGGTAGGGTACATTAGGAATATAATTTGTAAAGTTCTTACATAGCATGTGAAGAAATATAAAAATAATTGAAGGTAGCATCTCATTAATTAAAGATGTGTCTTATAAACACAGGTGTATACAAAACATAATATAAATAAGCTGAGTGAATATAAATCTGAATAATATAAAAGTACCTAACTAAATCTAGAGAAAGCAAACCAAGAAGGAAACAGAAACAAAAAGCAAAGAGAACAATTAAGATACACGTAGCAAAATATAGTTTTAACCCAAATATATCAATAATTACCATAGTTATTTTTCATATTGCTATAAAGAAATACCTGAGACTGGGTAATTTACGAAGAAAAGAGGTTTAATTTGTTCATGGTTCCACAGATTGTACAGGAAGCTTGATGCTGGTATATACTCATCTTCTGGGGAGGCCTCGGGAAACTTACAATCATGGTGTAATGCAAAGAAGGAACAAGTGTCTCACATGGCAGGAGTAGGAGTAAGAGAGGAGGAGAGGTGCTACACACTTTAACAAACAGATCTCGTGAGAGCTCACTCATTATCATGATAACAGCACCAAGAAGATGGTGTTAAACCATTCATGAGAAATCCACTTGCATGATTCAATCACCTCCCACCAGGCCGTACCTCCAACATTGGGGATTACAATTTGACATGAGAATAGGGTGGGGACACAGACCTAAACCATATCAATTACTTAAACGTAAATTATCTAAAGACATGAATTAAAAGCCTGTTAGTTGGGATAAATAAACAATATTCAATTATATACTGATTATAAAAAGTCTACTTTATTTTTATTTATTTTATTCATTTATTTATTTTTATTTCAGTAGGTTTTTAGGAACAAGTGGTGTTTTGTTCCATAAATAAGTTCTTTAGTGGTGATTTCTGAGATTTTGGTGTGCCCATTACCTGAGAAGTGCACACCATACCCAACGTGTAGTCTTTTATTCCTCACCCCACTTCCAACCCTCCCCCTGAGTCTGTCTCCAAATTCCATTGTATCATTCTTAGGCTTTTGTGTCCTTGTAGCTTAGCTCCCACTTTAAAGTGAGAATATACAATGTTTGGTTTTTCATTCTTGAGTTACTTCACTTAGAATTGTCAGGCCTCTGAGCCCAAGCTAAGCCATCATATCCCCTGTGTCCTGCACGTACACATCTAGATGGCCGGTTCCTGCCTTAACTGATGACATTATCTTGTGAAATTCCTTATCCTGGCTCTTCCTGGCTCAAAAGCTCCCCTACTGAGCACCTTGTGACCCCCACTCCTGCCTGCCAGAGAACAACCCACCTTTGACTGTAATTTTCCTTTACCTACACAAATCTTATAAAATGGCGCCACCCCTATCGCCCTTTGCTCTCTTTTCAGACTCAGCCCACCTGCACCCAGGTGATTAAAAAGCTTTATTGCTCACACAAAGCCTGTTGGTGGGCTCTTCACATGGACACGAGTGAAATTTGGTGCCATGACTCGGATCAGGGGACCTCCCTTGGGAGATCAATCACCTGTCCTCCTGCTCTTTGCTCCATGAGAAAGATCCACCTATGACCTCTGGTCCTCAGACCAACCAGCCCAAGGAACACCTCACCAATTTTAAATCTGGTAAGTGGCCTCTTTTTACTCTCTTCTTTAACCTCTCTCACTATCCCTCAACCTCTTTCTCCTTTCAATCTTGGTGCCACACTTTGATCTCTCCCTTCTCTTAATTTCAGCTCCTTTCCTTTTCTGGTAGAGATGGCGACGCGTTTTGTTTGTGGACCCAAAACTCCGACACCCGTCATGGACTCGGGAAGACAGTCTTCCTTTGTTGTTTAATCATGCGAGGATGCCTGCCTGATTATTCACCCACGTTTCAGAAGTGTCTGACCACACGGGGATGCCTGCCTTGGTCCTTCACCCTTAGCAACAAGTACCACTTTAATGGGGGGCAAGAAACCCCCAACCCCTTCTCTCCATGTCTCTACCCCTTCTCTGCTTTTCTAGGGGGCAAGAACCCCCCAACCCCTTCTCCTTCACCCTTAGTGGCAAGTACCACTTTTCTAGGGGGCAAGAACACCCCAACCCCTTCTCTCCATGTCTCTACCCCTTCTCTGCTTTTCTGGGGGACAGGAACCCCCCACCCCTTCTCTCCATGTCTCTACTCTCTCTTTTCTCTGGGCTTGCCTCCTTCACTATGGGCAAGCTTCCGCCCTCCATTCCCCCTTCTTCTCCCTTAGCCTGTATTCTTAAAAACCTAAAACCTCTTCAACTCACACCTGACCAAAAACCTAAGTGCCTTATTTTCTTCTGCAATGCTGCTTGACCCCAATACAAACTTGACAGTAGTTCCAAATAGCCAGAAAATGGCACTTTCAATTTTTCCATCCTACAATATCTAAATAATTCTTGTCATAAAATGGGCAAACAGTCTGAGATGCCTGATGTCCAGGCATTCTTTTACACATCAGTCCCTCCCTAGTCTCTGTTCCCAATGCAACTCATCCCAAATCTTCCCTCTTTCCCTCCCATCTGTCCCCTCAGTCCCAACCTCAAGCATCGCAGAGTCTTTCTAATCTTCCTTTTCTACAGACCCATCTGACCTCTCCCCTCCTTGCCAGGCTGAGCTAGTTCCCAATTCTTCCTCAGTCTCTGCTCCTCCACCCTATAATCCTTTTATCACCTTCACTCCTCACACAGGGTCCAGCTTACAGTTTCGTTGTGACTAGCCCTCCCCAACCTGCCCAGCAATTTCCTCTTAAAGAGGTGGCTGGAGCTAAAGGCATAGTCAAGGTTAATGCTCCTTTTTCTTTATCCCAAATCAGACAGCATTTAGGCTCTTCTCCATCAAATGTAAAAACCCAGCCCAGTTCATGGCTCATTTGGCAACAACCCTGAGATGCTTTACAGCCCTAGTCCCTAAAAGGTCAAAAGGCTGTCTTATTCTCAATATACATTTTATTACCCAATCGGCTCCTGACATTAAATAAAACTACAAAAATTAAATTCTGGCCCTCAAACCCCACAACAGGACTTAACTAACCTCACCTTCAAGGTGTACAATAATGGAGTAGACACAGCCAAGTAGTAACATATTTCTGAGTTGCAATTCCTTGCCTCCATTGTGAGACAAACCCCAGCCACATCTCCAGCACACAAGAACTTCCAAATGCCTAAACCACAGTGGCCAGGCATTCCTCCAGGCCTGCCTCCCTCAGGAGCTTGCTACGAGTGCCAGAAATCTGGCCACCAGACCAAGGAATGCCCGCAGTCCAGGATTCCTCTTAAGCCATGTCCCATCAATGTGGGACCCCACTGAAAATCGGACTGTTCAACTCACCTGGCAGCCACTCCCAGAGCCCCTGGAACTCTGGCCCAAGGCTGTCCGACTGACTCCTTCCCAGATCTTTTTGGCTTAGTGGCTCAACTCTGATGCTGCCCGATCACAATAGAAGCCCCCTAGACCATCACGGATGCCAAGCTTCAGGTAACTTTCACAGTGGTAGGTAAGTCCATCCCCTTCTTAATCAATATGGAGACTACCCACTCCACATTACTTTCTTTTCAAGGGCCTGTTTCCTTTGCCTCCATAACTGTTGTAGGTATTGACGACCAGGCTTCTAAACCTCTTAAAACTCCCCAACTCTGGTGCCAACTTAGACAATACTCTTTAAAGCACTCCTTTTTAGTTATCACCACCTGTCCAGCTCCCTTATTAGGTCGAGACATTTTAACTAAATTATCTGCTTCCCTGACTATTCCTGGGCTACAGCCACACCTCATTGCCACCTTTTACCCCAGTTCAAAGCCTCCTTCACATCCTCTCCTTGTATCTCCCCACTTTAAACCACAAGTATAGGACACCTCTACATCCTCCTTAGCGACCCATCATGCACCTCTTACCATCTCATTAAAACCTAATCACCCTTACCCCACTCAATGCCAATATCCCATCCCACAGCATGCTTTAAAAGGATTAAAGCCTGTTATCATTCGCCTGTTACAGCATGGCCTTTTAAAGCCTATAAACTCTCCTTACAATTCCCCCATTTTACCTGTCCAAAAACCGGACAAGCCTTACAGGTTAGTTCAGGATCTGAGCCTTATCAACCAAATTGTTTTGCCTATCCACCCCATGGTACCAACCCCATATACTCTCCTATCCTAAATACCTCCCTCCACAAACCCATTATTTTATTCTGGATCTCAAACATGCTTTCTTTACTATTCCTTTGCACCATTCACCCCAGCCTCTCTTCGCTTTCACTTAACTGACCCTGACACCCATCAGGCTCAGCAAATTACCTGGGCTGTACTGCCACAAGGCTTCACAGACAGCCCCCATTACTTCAGTCAAGCCCAAATTTCTTCCTCATCTGTTACCTATCACTGCATAATTCTCATAAAAACACATGTGCTCTCCCTGCTGATGGTGTCCAGCTAATCTCCCAAATCCCAATCCCTTCTACAACATAGCAACTCCTTTCCTTCCTAGGCATGGTTAGTGTGGTCAGAATTCTTACACAAGAGCCAGGACTGCACCCTGTAGCCTTTCTGTCCAAACAACTTAACCTCATTGTTTTAGCTTAGCCCTCATGTCTGTGTGCAGTGGCTGCCACTGCCTTAATAATTTTAGAGGCCCTCAAAATCACAAACTATGCTCAACTCACTCTACAGTTCTCATAACTTCCAAAATCTATTTTCTTCCTCACACCTGATGCATATACTTTCTGCCCCACTCCACTAACTCTCAGAAAGTCGAACTCATTGCCTTAACTCGAGCACTCACTCTTGCAAAAGGACTACACATCAATATTTGTACTGACTCTAAATATGCCTTCCATATCTTGCACCACCATGCTGTTATATAGGCTGAAAGAGATTTCCTCACCACCTTTGCATAGTGGCAAAGTCCTCCATCATTAATGCCTCTTTAATAAACACTCTACTCAAGGCTGCTTTACTTCCAAAGGAAACCGAAGTCATTCACTGCAAGGGCCATCAAAAGGCATTGCTCTAAGCAAGGCTTATGCTGATAAAGTGGCTAGACAAGCAGCTAGCTTCCAACTTCTGTCCCTCACGGCCAGTTTTTCTCCTTCACATCGGTCACTCCCACCTACTCCCCTGCTGAAACTTCCACCTATCAATCTCTTCCTACACAAGGCAAATGGTTCTTAGGCCAAGGAAAATATCTCCTTCCAGCCTCACAGGCCCATTCTATTCTGTCATCATTTCATAACCTCTTCCATGTAGGAAGCTGCTAGCCTGTCTCTTAGAACCTCTCATTTCCTTTCCATCCTGGAAATTTATTCTCAAGGAAATCACTTCTCAGTGTTCCATCTGCTAGTCTACTACCACTCAGGGATTGTTCAGGCCTCCTCCCTTTCCTATACATCAAGCTCGGGGATTTGCCCCTGCCTGGGACTGGCAAATTGACTTTACTCACATGCCCTGAGTCAGAAAACTAAAATCTGGATAGACACTTTCACTGGATGGGTAGAGGCCTTTCCTACAGGGTCTGAGAAGGCCACCACAGTCATTTCTTCCCTTCTGTCAGACATAATTCTTTGGTTTGGCCTTCCCACCTCTATACAGTCTGAGAGCAGACTGACCTTTATTAGTCAAATCAGCCAAGCATTTTTTCAGGCTCTTGGTATTCAGTGAAACCTTTATATCCCTTACGGTCTGCAGTCTTCAGGAAAGGTAGAACGAACTAATGGTCTTTTAAAAACACACCTCACCAAGCTCAACCACCAACTTAAAAAGGACTGGACAATACTTTTACCACTTTCCCTTCTCAGAATTCAGGCCTGTCCTCAGAATGCTACAGGGTACAGCCCATTCGAGCTCCTGTATAGACACTCCTTTTTATTGGCCCCAGTCTCATTCCAGACACCAGACCAACTTAGACTGTGCCCCAAAAAACTTGTCTTCCCTACTATCTTCTGTCTAGTCACACTCCTATTCACCGTTCTCAACTACTCATACATGCCCTGCTCTTGTTTACACTGCCAGTTTACACTGTTTCTTCAAGCCATCACAGCTGATATCTCCTGGTGCTATCCTCAAACTGCCACTCTTAACTCTTAAAGTAAATAAATAATCTTTGCTGGCAGGACTATGCTGAATCTCCTTAGGCACTCTCTAATTAGATGTCCTGGGTCCTCCCGGTTCTCAGACCTTTAATACCTGTTTTTCTCCTTCTCTTATTCCGTTTAGTTTTTCAATTCAGACAAAACCTTATCCAGGCCATCATCAATAATTCTAAATGACTAATGTTTCTTCTAACAACCCCACAATATGACCCCTTACCACAAAATCTTCCTTCACCTTAATCTCTCCCACTCTAGGTTCCCACGCCGCCCCAATCCCACTCAAAGCGGCCCTGAGAAACATTGCCCATTATCTCTCCATACCACCTGCAAAAATTTTTACCGTCCAACACTTTACCATGATTTCATTTTATTTTTCTTATTAATATAAGAAGACAGGAATGTCAGGCCCCTGAGCCGAAGCTAAGCCATCATATCCCCTGTGACCTGCACGTACACATCCAGATGGCCAGTTCCTGCCTTAACTGATGACATTCCACCACAAAAGAAGTGAAAATGGCCTGTTCCTGCCTTAACTGATGACATTATCTTGTGAAATTCCTTCTCCTGGCTCATTCTGGCTCAAAAGCTCCCCTACTGAGCACCTTGTGACCCCCACTCCTGCCTGTCAGAGAACAACCCCCCTTTGACTGTAATTTTCCTTTACCTACTCAAATCTTATAAAATAGCCCCACCCCATCTCCCTTCTCTGACTCTCTTTTCAGACTCAACCCGCCTGTGCCCAGGTGATTAAAAAGTGTATTGCTCACACAAAGTCTGTTTGGTGGTCTCTTCACACAGACGCGAGTGAAAGAATAATGGTCTCCAACTCAGTCCAGGTTGCTGTGAATGCCATTATTTGATTCGTTTTTATAGGTGAGTAGTATTTTTTGATTTTTTAATTATGGCCATTCTTGCAGAGGAAGGTGGTATTACATTGTGGTTTTGATTTGCATTTCTCTGATAATTAGCGATGTTAAGCACTTCTTCATGTTTATTGGCCATTTGTATATCTTCGTTTGAGAATTGTCTGTTCATGTCCTTAGCCTACTTTTTGATTGGGTTGTTTATTGCTTTCTTACTGATTTGTTTGAGTTCCTTGTGAATTCTGGATATTAGTTATTTGTCAGATGTATAGATTGTGAAAATTTTCTCCCAGTCTGTGGGTAGCCTGTTTGCTGACTATTTCTTTGGCTGTGCAGAAGCTTTTTAGTTTAATTAAGTCCCATCTATTTATTTTTGTTTTTGTTGCATTTGCTTTTGGGTTCTTGGTCATGAAGTTTTTGCCTAAGCCAATGCCTAGAAGGGTGTTTTCAATGTTCTCTTCTATAATAGAATGTTTAAGGATTCAGGTTTTCAATTTAAGTCTGATCCATCTTGAATTGATTGTTTTGTAAGGTGAGAGATAAAGGTCTAGTTTCATTCTTCTAACTGGGCTTGCCAATTATCACAGCACCATTTGTTGAATAGGGTGTCCTTTCCCCACTTTACGTTTTTGTCAATTGGCTGAAAGTATTTGGGTTTATTTCTGGGTTCTCTATTCTGTTCCATTAGTCTATGTGCCTACTTTTATATCAGTACCAAGCTGTTTTGGTGACTATGGGCTTTGTATACTTTAAATTCAGGGAAGATGATGTCTCCAGATTTCTTTTTGCTTGGTCTTACTTTGGCTATGTGGGCTCTTTTTTGGTTCCAAGTGAATTTTAGGTTTATTTTTTTTCTAGTTCTGTAAAGAATGATGATGGTATTTTAATTGGAATTGTGTGGAATTTGTAGACTGCTTTTGGAAGTATGGTCATTTTCACAGTATTGATTATACCCATCCATAAGCATGGGATATGTTTCCATATGTTTGCCTCATCTATGATTTCTTTCAGCAGTGTTTTGTTTGTTTGTTTGTTTGTTTTTGTTTTTGTTTTTTGTAGTTTTCCTTGTACAGGTCTTTCACCTCCTTAGGTATATCACTAAATATTTTATTTTGCTTTATTTTATTTTATTTTATTTTTACCTATTGTAAAAGGTGTTGAATTCTTGATTTGATTCTCAGCTTGATTGCTGTTGGTGTATAGCAGAGCTACTAATTTGTTTGCATTGACTTTGTATCCTGAAACTTTACAGAATTCAGTTATCATACCTAGAAGTTTTATAGATGAGTCTTTAGAATTTTCTAGGTATACATCATATCATCAGTGAATAGTGACAGTTTGACTTCTTCTTTAGTCATTTTGATGCCCTTTATTTCTTTCTCTTGTCTGATGGCTCTGGCTACACTTCCAGTACTATGTTGAATAGAGGTGGTAAAAGTGGTCATCTTTGTCTTGTTCCAGTTCTCAGGGAGAATGCTATTAACTTTTCCCTGTTCAGTATAATGTTGGTTGTTAGTTTGTCATAGATGGCTTTTATTACCTTAAAGTATGTCCCTTCTTGCTAATTTTGCTGACTGTTTTAATCATAAAGTGATGCTGTATTTTGTCAAATGCTTTTCCTACATCTATTGAGATCATTATAAGATTTTTGTTTTTAATTCTGTTTATGAGATATATCACATTTGTTGACTTGTGTATGTTGAACTCTCCCTGCATCCCTGGTATGAAACCCACTTGATCATAGCAAATTACCTTTTTACTATGCTATTGGATTTGATTAGATAGTATTTTGTTGAGCATATTTCATCTATGTTTATCAGGAATATTGGTTTGTAGTTTTCTTTTTTTGCTATGCCTTTTCCTGGTTTTAGTATTGGGATGATAATGGCTTCATAGAATTGCTTAAGGAGGATTCTTTGTTTTTTAGAAAGTTTCAATAGGATTGGTATCAATTCTTCTTTGAATGTCTGATAGAATTCAGCTGTGAATCCATCTGGTCCTGGCCTTTTTTTTTTTTTTTCTTTGCAATTTCTTTTTATTATCATTTCAATCTTGTGGTTTGTTATTTGCCTGTTCACAGTTTCTATTTATTCCTGGTTTATTCCACAAGGGTTGTATATTTCTAGAAACTTATCCATCTCCTCTAGGTTTGCTAGTCTGTGGGTATAAAGGTGTTCATAGCAGCCTTGAATAATCTTTTATAGTTCTGTGGTATCATTTGTACTATCTCCAGTTTTATTTCTAATTGAGCTTATCTGGATTTTCCATCTTCTTGGTTAATCTCACTAATGGTTTATCAATTTTGCTTATTTTTTCAGAGATCCAGATTTTTGTTTCATTGATCTTTTATTTATTTTTTCTTTTTCAGTTTTCTTTAGTTATGCTCGATCTGAGTTATTTCTTTCCCTCTGCTGGGTTTGGGTTTGGTTTATTCTTGTTTCTCTAGTTCCTTGAGGTATGACCTTAGATTGCCTATTGGTGATCCTTCAGACTTTTTGATGTAAGCATTTAATGCTATGAACTTTCCTCTTAGCAACACTTTTGTTGTATCCAAAAGGTTTTGACAGGCTGCGTCACTATTATCATTCAGTCCAAAGGTGTTTTAAATTTCCATCTTGATTTCTATTTTTTTTTTTTTTAGATGAATTCTTGCTCTGTCTCCCAGGCTGGAGTGCAATGGCAAGATCTTGGCTAACTGCAACCTCTGCCTCCTGGATTCAAGCAATTCTCCTGTCTCAGCCTCCCAAGAGCTGGGGTTACAGGCATGTGCCATGATGCCCCACTATTTTTTTGTATTTTTAGCAAAGACAGGTTTTCAACATGTTGGCCAGGCTGATCTTGAACTCCTGACCTCAAGTGATTCACCTGCCTCAGCCTCCCAAAGTGCTGGGATTACAGGCATGAGCCACCATGCTCAGGCCTTGATTTCATTTTTGACTCAACTGTGACTCAGGAGTGGGTTATTTAATTTTCATGTATTCGTATGGTTTTGAGGGTTCCCCTTGGATCTGATTTCCACTTTTATTCCACTGTGGTCTGAGAGAATACTTGATATAATTTTGATATTCTTAAATTTATTGACACTTGTATTATGACCTACCATACGGTCTATCTTGGAGAATGTTTCACGTGTTGATGAATAGAATGTGTATTCTACAGTTGTTGGATGGAATGTTCTGTAAGTGTCTGTTAAGTCCATTTCTTCTAGAGTATAGTTTAAGTCCATTGTTTGTTTGTTGATTTTCTGTCCTGATGACCTATCTAGTGCTATCAGTGGAGTACTGACCTCCCCCACTATTATTGTGTTGCTGTCTCTCTCATTTCTTAGGTCTAGAAGTAATTGTTTTATGAATTTGGGAGCTCCATTGTTAGGTGCATAGATATTTAAGATTATGATATTTTCTTGTTGAACTAGACATTTTATCAATATGTAATGTCCCTTTTTTCTTTTTTTTAACAGTTGTTGCTTTACAGTCTGTTTTATCTGACATAAGAAAAATACTCCTGCTCACTATTGATGTCCATTTGCATGGAATGTATTTTTTCACCCCTTTACCTTAAGTTTATGTGAATCTTTATGTGTCAGGATTGTCTCTTGAATATAGCAGATACTTGGGTGGTGACTTCTTATCCATTCTGTCATTCTATATCTTTTAAGTGGAGCATTTAGGCCATTTACATTAAACATTATTATTGAAATGCATTGTGTTAGTTGTTACCTGAATACCTTGTCTTTTTTTTATTGTGTTGTTGTTTTATAGGTCCTGTGAGATTTATGCTTTAAGAAGGTTCAATTTTAGTGTGTTTTTGAAGTTTGTTTTTTTTTTTTTTTTTAACATTTAGAACTTCTTTTAGCAGTTCTTATAGAGCTGGCTTGGTAGTGGCAGATTCTCTCAGCATTTGTTTGTCTGAAAAGACTTTATCTTTCCTTCATTTATGACGGTTAGTTTTTTTGGATACAAAATCCTTTGCTGTTAAGTGTTTGGTTTAAGGAGGCTACATATAAGACCCCAATCCCTTGTAGCTTTTGGGATATCTGCTGACAAATCTGTTGTTAATCTGGTAGATTTTTCTTTATAAGTTACCCTATGCTTTCAACTCACAGCTCTTAAGATTCTTTTCTTCATCTAGACTTTAGATAACCCGATGACTCTGTGCCTACGTGATTATCTTTTTGCATTGAATTTCTCAGTTGTTCTTTGAACTTCTTGTATTTGGATATGTAGATCTCCAGCAAGGCTAAGGAAGCGTTTCATGGTTATTTCCTCAGATAAATTTTCCAAACTTTTAGATATCTCTTCTTCCTTGACAACACTAATTATTCGTAGGTTTGGTTGTTTAGTAGAATCCCAAACTCCATGGAGGTTTTGTTCATTTATTTTTATTTTTTTCTTTGTCTTTGTCTGATTGGGTTAATTCAAAAGTGTTGTCTTAGAGGTCTGAGGTTTTTCCTAGGTTCAGTTCTATTGTTGAAACTTTCCAGAGTATTTTGCCTTTCTCTAATTGTGTATTTCATTTCCAGATGTGATTGCTTTTTATTTATGCTATGTTTTTCTCTGGAGATTTTTTCATCCATGTCCTTTTTTTTTTTTTCTTTAAGTCAGTTTTCACTGTTCTCTGGTGCCTCCTTGAATAGCTTAACAATTGACCTTCTGAATTCTTTTTCTAGCAATTAAGAGATTTATTATTCGTTTGGGTCAATCACTGGTGAGCTAGTGGAATCTTTTGGGGGTGGTTAAATAATCTTGCTTTGTCACATTAACAGAATTGTTTAGGAAGTTCTTTCTCATTTGGGTGGACTATGTCAGAGGAAAGATCTGTGGCTCAAGGGCTGCTGTTCAGGTAATTTTGTCCCATGGGATGATCCCTTGATGTGGTACTCTCCCCCTTTCCCTAGGGATATTGCTTCCTGAGAGCTGGACTGCAGCGATTGTTATTGGTTTTCTGAGTTTAGCCACCCAGCAGAGCTACTAGGCTCTTGGCTGGTATGGAGGAGTGTTTGCAAAGAGTCCTGTGATGTGATCCTTCTTCAGGTCTCTCAGCCATGGATACCAGCACCCGCTCTGGTGGAGGTAGCAGTGAAGTAAACTGGACTCAGTGTGATCCCTTGGTTGTAATTTTGTTTAGTGCACTGGTTTTCTGGAATCCTGATTGTGCTAGCAGTGAAGTTGTCATGTGAACAGACTCAGGACCTCTGGTTAGCCAGGATGTTACAGGTGGTGAAATTAGATGTTTTCTCTTTTCTTGGAGTAGGGTTTGTTCTTTTATGAGTTTATGTAATGGCTTGAGTTGATTGGCCTCCAGCCAGGAGGTGGCACTTTCAAGAAAGCATGAGCTGCGGTAGTATAGGGGGTATACAAGCTTGCCCTAAGGTCACCTGGATAAGTATTCAGGTTTCTCATGTGATGGGTGGGGTCATAGAGCTCCCAAGAGATTATTTCTTTTGTCTTTGGCTACCTGGGCAGGTAAAGAAAGACCATCAGGGCAGTGTTAGGTGTGTCTGAGCTAAAACTCCCTTTGGGCAGGGCTTGCTGCAACTGCTGAGGGGATGGGGGTGAGTTCTCAGGCCAATGAAGTTGTGTTCCCAGCCGGATTATGGCTGCCTCTGTTGCATCATACTGTCGCTAGGAAAGTGTGGGAAAGCTGGCAGTGACAAGCCTCACCCTGCTCCCATGCAGCCAGCAAAACCTGTCTCACTCCCACCATGCCTCCCCAGTAGCACCAAGTTTACATCCAGACAGCTGGTGAGCAGGGCTGAGATCATGCCCCAGGCTACAAGCCTCCCTGCTGAGAAAGCAAGCAGGGCTCTCAGGCCCTACCCCTTCCTGCCTGCCTGCACTTCCTATTTGCATGCCGCCCCCCTCCCCATCACCTCCAACCGGCCGGCCCGCAAACCCCCATGCCAATTCTGCCCTGGAAAATTTGTGCTGGGTCGAAACTATTACAAAGCTCAGATGGAAGCTTTCTTTTACCTGTGGTCCTTCCACTGATAATTCCACTGTCAGTCCTCCCCAAGGATCCCTGTGAGATAAAGTCAGAAATGGTTTCCCTAGGCATCCCTGGGGACCAGGAGTGCCTACAGGGCTCTTCCTGCTGCTTCTACCTTTATATTTTGCTCAGCTCTCTAAATTTGTTTCAGTCCTACATATGGTTAAATCCTTCTCCCATGATCTGAATTTTCAGGTTCCCCAGTGAGGATATGTGTTCAGAAGTGTGAAAACTTTCCCCCCTTTTCACACTTTGAGCACTTACAGTTTTTCAGCTGTCACACAGAGTTTACAGCGGCAAGTGGCTTCTTTCAAAGGATCTGTGACTTACTTCAGTTTTTCTGATATGTTCCTGCAGTAGTTCTTGAAGCAAAAGTTCATGATATGAGTCTTCATGTGCTGTTCTGCCTGTCTGAGTGGGAACTGCAAGTTAGACCTGCCTCCTAACCGCCATTTTTCCTCTCCAAGAAGTCTACTTTAAATATAAAGCTTTAACCCTGTTGTGTTGGATTAGAATCAGAGTAAACTCATGCTTTCACAGATAGATACATACATACACTTACATAGATCCATATTTATGTGTGTGTATGCATGGATTAGTATGCATGCAGGTATTTGTGAGCTCTGTTCACTGAGAGGGCCTGAAAACAATGACACAGTTGCCACAAGCATACTTACACCTATATCTTGGCTTCTAAATATTATTCTCCAATATAAGGAACCAGATCTCCTTTGTGAAGTGTTTGATACCAGGCTATGAGCAGGGAAAATGCAAGATGAAACCTGGAATATTACATGGCATCAGGACATAAGTATATGCACAGTAAAGGATGAGAACACGTGAAAAAGGCACAGTAGCTATTCTGAAAGAGCACCTATTAGCTAACGGTAGAATAAT
Source organism: Homo sapiens (assembly GCF_000001405.40). NCBI lineage: Eukaryota > Metazoa > Chordata > Mammalia > Primates > Hominidae > Homo > Homo sapiens. The sequence goes on from NC_000006.12 coordinate 62,804,391, forward strand.
TTCAACAGCACAATAAATCATAAAAGTATTGGATTAAATTCCATAAAATAAATGTTCATGAGATCATAGTGATATCAATTAACTTTTTAATAAATAAATAAATTGGGGATATGGGAGAGTCATTCCTTACAGAAAAATTTCAATGGTTAAATCTAGAATGAATAAGAGAAATATAAAACCTTCATTAGAAAATCACCATATTGATTGTTGTAGGCAAGGTCCAGCTATGAATATTAATATCCGTGAGTGAAAATTTGAAGAGAAACAGGATGTTTGCACAGTCTCAAAGTATCTCCCTCAACATAGTTATTAATTACAGAGAAATCTAGTAACTGTACAGTAGAAAAACAGAGTTGACATTATCTTAACCAACTGATCAAAGATAACATCAACAGTGTTATGATATATTAACTTCATGTACTCTTTGTATAACACTGTGAGAATGGCATAACTCTTCTGTGGTATACATGTCAAAAATTCACAATCTCAACCTAATTGTGAAAGCACATCAGACAAACCCAAACTGAGGGACATCTATAAAATAATTGGCCTGTTCTCTTTAAAAGCATGAAAGCAAGGAAAGACTGAGGAATGTACAAAGATTAAAGGATACTAAGGAGACATGACAACTGAAGACATGACCTGCATCAGACTCTCAAACAGAAAATGATGTATAGAAAAGATGGGCAAAACCTGCAAAATGTGTAAGTTTTTTCAGTATGATTGTACAAATGTTAACTTCTCTATTAATTTTCCAATAGTTATGTGTCATGTCTCTTCACATGACAACTTCACTGCTAGCACAATCCGGATTCCAGAAAACCAGTGCACTAAACAACATTGGGGGATGCTGGGAGAAGGTTGTAAGGCAGCCCTCTGCAAAACCTTTGTAATTTTTCTGTAAGTCTGGAATTATTTCAGTATTAGAAGTTTAAATAAACCCCTAAAAAAAGTAGTAAAAATTTCATTAGACTGAAAAGTATAAAAAATAGCATTTACAAAATAATTTAAATTGAGTATTTTAGGAAGCTTCTTAGAGACTCTGACCTACAGGGAGCTGAGAGCTAACCAGTTAACTATCTGTAACACAAGACTCCTCACCAAAATTACTTTCAATTTCTGTTGAAGACCACACAGAATCAGCCTAAGAACTAATGGAATTCTACAATAAGCATGAACCTGGCTCGCAACAACATATTTTCCTTTGTAATCACCATCCTGTCCTTCGAAATCTCCGAAGTCATATCTCATTATTTCCTGCTTGCTAGTCCATGATTTTGACTTGGTTTTATTGCTACTTTATATACACTATCTTTTTCATCTCACAGTTCATGCTTCACTTCCCACTCCAAACACATAAGCATTGGCTTCAATTTGACTTCTTGCTCCGCTACTTTTCCTCTGCCACAGGTCATACAGTAAGGGAAACTTGAAATGACAATAAAGTATATAGGCTCATATCACTACAAATGAAAGGAGTTGGAAATTGGAGAAATTGAGATAAACTTTAAGGTGAAATTTTAGGCTAAAGAAGAACAAAACAAATATAAAACAACAAAAAAAGGAGAAAGAAAATGTATAGATAATAAGATTCGGTAATCGCATCAGAGAATGGTACAATCTTCTCATTTCACAAAGGAGTATTTAGAAACCTAGAAACTTTCACAAGGTCCCATAGAAACTAAACTCCAAGTCTTTTTACTTCTAAATTGGTTTCCCACTGCCTATCACACACTAGCTCAGTGTGATGAAGAAAATGACCATCATGTGAGATATCAAGTAGAAAATTAATAATAACTAAAAAAGTAGACTATAAAAAGATTTGAATGTCAGGCTTAAAACTTTATATTGAATTTTACTTAGGTAATAATTCATTTTTGTAATTATAGTTTTTAATATCCAAGAGTCTCAAACACACTTTTCTCTAGGTCCCAGATTTTTGTATCTCTTAAGTGGCCATAGCAATATCCAGGTATGGTTTATTTTGTATACAGTAAATCTGTATATAAGCTTCCAAAAAATGTCAGCCATTATTATTATTGTTGTTATTATTTTATGGTTTCTATAATATTTTAATATTACATGTTAATGTTTAATGAAAGGGTTTTAGTTGTCTTCCTTTCTCTATTTCATTCATATGTTTTATATTTTACTACTTACTATTTTTTTGTGTTTAAGAAAACATAGGGGTAAAAAGCAAGTTTTATGAGAACAGGGAGGTTGCTTTACTCATGACCCACTATAATGGATTTTGGGCAAATTATTAAAGAGTAATGAAAAGCTCCGTGAAAATATACAAGTCAAATTAAGATGTAAGTCTTTCACTTGAATGCTCCAATATATCATAAAAGAAGATGGTACACTGATGAAATTTAGTACAGACAAAGCAAAAGTTTTCAGGGAAGACCTTCATATTGTCATTTGTTGGGTATGAGGATAAATATGCAATGAAAAATCCTTAGAGTTAAGATAATCGAGTGTAAGAAACTGATAGGCAAACAGTAAGTTTCTGTTAATATAGCACACCTGACTTAGTTATGACTTTTGGAAAAGTCTTTAAATGAATTTATGCTCAGTGCCTCTTTGGCAATGTTGTCACACATGTTCAAGTCAATAACTTAACCAGAACTTATTGAATGCCTACCACTTGTAAAAAACCTGAATTAAATAGTTTTGTTATGGACTGAAAGTGTCACTCAAAATTAATGTATTAGAAAATGTATCCCCAATGCAACAGTGTTGGGAGGTGGGACCTTTGGGAAGTGCTTTGGTGATGAAGGTTCCACCCTCAGAAATGGAGTAACGCCATTATAAAAAGGGCTTGGAGAAGTGGGGTTGCTCTCTTCTGCTCTTCTACCATGTGAGGACAGAGCACGAAAGCCCTCATTAGATATCAGTGCCTTGGTCTACTTCCTAGCCTTCAGAACTGTGAGAAATAAATTTCTGTTACTTATAAATTATCCATTCTGTGGCAATTTGTTATAACAACACAAATAGACTAAGACAGGGCTCTACTAAGGAAATTCAACTTGATACAAGTTGTGAGGGTAAAAGTGATGGGCATCCTATGTTTAAATTAATATATATAGATAGGCAGTTTTATCATACCTATATGTACTCATGGCCCCAAAGACGGTATTAAGATTTGTTTGTAAAGAGGCATTCAGCTGTATGCTAATAACATTTTGATTAACTTTGAAGTTAAGGTAACTTTTCAAACAGAATTTGATAGTAACCAGGAAAAAAGAATTAATAAAAAATGAACTAAAATATTGTAGTGACAAAATTTAAAATGAATTGCAGCTGTGGTCATGAAAAAAATGTATGATCATTAAATGAATAATTTTCTTCTTCTATCACTAGCACACTAAAATATATTCAAAATATTTACAGGGAAATACACTGTGAAATAGTTGGTTTAAATATTAAACTAACAAATCTTTTAATGTACCAGCTTTGAGTGTCAAAATTTACGTTTATTAACCTGTGGTGACTACGAATAAACTGCTTTCAAGTAAATTGTTTTTCACAGAACAGAAAAATAAATCCTTAACAATAGTAATGGATCTTTACTTCCTCATTTATAAATACCTGACAGGAAAAATTGTTGCATCACTGATTAATTACTGAATTAACAAACAGTCATTCTAGAAAATTTCAGATAAAAACAAAATAAACACACAACAGATTAAGCAAAAAGATAACAATATCTGTTCACTAACATTAATTTCATTTAAAGAAAATGAAATTCTTCCTAGAAGAAAATCATTACTCAGAGTCTTTAATCAAGAGACAAATAATTGACTACTTTTTTTTTTCTTTTTGATTCATTAAATAGGAAGCTTCCCAGATAGGAATCCATTTATATATTAACTCTTTAAACTCTTCAACAATTCATAAATATTTGTTAATATTCCTTTGAAATTACTTATCTACAAGGTATTACACTTAAGCATTTCATTAGAATTAGTTTGTAAGAATAGCTAACTGCAGTGATATGTCTCAGTCAATAATACTACCAATGGCTTCAAATTTATTAAAAGAGGACAAAGACTCTATTATACATGCAGAATAATACTCTCACATTTGACTTCCTGCTAGCATCTTCTTCTGTTTGATCCTGTCCTTACAAGTCTGTAATCATCAAGTTTCAGGCAGCCAGTTCTTTAATGTGAAAATTGAAATAGGCTGAAAAGATTATTTCCAAAAGCAGGTAACACAGGATTGTGCCCTGCAGTGCTGTATGATACAATTCAGAGAGAGTTGTATTGCCACTTAAATTGTGGACATATGGAATGGGATCAAAACAGGCCAGCAGGCATTGTGGGACAGCTGCCAAGGAAGTCTTACAGAGAAGTGTTTCATTGTCACCTTCACTTCATGGAGATAAAAGGTTAACAATGAGCAAGTGATTCATTCTGTTGATGATTACAGAAAGTAAGATGAGCTTCTAGAGGGAAGTTATAAAAAGAGTAACCAGGAAGTTTTAAGTGGCACATTACTAATTTGCAGATTTTTTCCCTCCTAAATTTCATTAGAGATGGCATCATTGTGAGAAATGTGTTGGTATAAGAAGTTACAGGTGACTGAATACAGAACACAAGATGCTCAATTGCTCTCTGTGTTAATATGGGCTGATCAGATCATGGCCTTCAACAGAGAGGCACCAGCTTTTTTGGTCTGGTCATTTTAAATGGTACTTAGATGTCAGCACAAAGCCATGAAAGCAGTGAAGGGCCACATGCTGCCAAGAGCAACAATTTTCAGTTGCAGTTTCCTTTAAAACAATTGTTTACATATAAATGTCAGCACATGTGCTTAGTAAGGTCTCTTAATTTGATTTCTTTTGAACATACTTTTCAGCCCATTGAAAATTATTTTAAATACGAATCTAAGGGTTATATTTTTTCTTATTTTAGACGAGTTAGTGGGTGCAGCGCACCAGCATGGCACATGTATACATATGTAACTAACCTGCACAATGTGCACATGTACCCTAAAACTTAAAGTATAATAAAAAATAAAAATAAAATAAAAAAAAAATAAAATAAAATTCTAAAAAAAAAGAAGAGGTTATAAATATCAAGTGTGACTATGAAAGATAATTTAAAATATTGAATATATATATAACATTTAAGAGTAGAAAAAAATTAAAGGTTGCATTCTAGGTAAAATGTCAGAGTGAAGATGGATCACAAAATTCTCAATGACAAAAACAAAAAGCAAGAAAGAAAAAAGAATTTTAATAGCAAACAAACAATTCATCAACAATGAACTAGGAATGGTGAAAAATCTTATACATAATCTGTGATATGGCTTAGTGTGACTTCTGTTCCTACTCTCAAATCCCAGAAGGAGTGCAGAAGTAGAAAATAATCCCACTTTATCACTCTAGCACTATTTCAATAGGAACAGATTCAGGGTTGAATAATTATAATATTGGTGACTATAAGGGTTTCCTTGAAAACATAATGGTCCTAAGTCCTAATTTACATTATAGAATGTAAATCAATCTCTTCTGTTCCTGGATAAACCTCATCTCCAGTTATAAAATGCAGAGATATCTCCAAAATCATGGACCTTATCAGCCCTGCAAATGTAATCACATACCTCCACAGTTAACCTAGGAGTCTGTCTCCTGAAATAACCATGTGTTTCCTACAGAGATGAGTTTTATGCGTCTTTTGTTTGGTTTGCTGTACATATTAGTTTGTTCTTGCAGTGCTATAAAGAACTGCCCTGATACTGAGTTATTTATAAAGGAAAGAGTTTAATTGACTCACAGTTCCACATGGCTGGGGAGGCGTCAGAAAAAATCATGTCAGAAGGAGAAACAGGCACATCATACATGGCAGCATGGCAGGGAGATTGTGTGTGTAGGAGGAATTGTAAAAACACTTAATACCATCAGATCTCATGAGAACTCACTCACTATCACAAAAAGAGCATGGGGAAAACTGCACCCATGATACATTCACCTACCACCAGGTCTCTCCCTCAATATATGGGGATTATGAAGATTACAATTCAGGATGAGATTAGGGTGGGAACACAAAGCTAAACCATATCATTGAATAAATGAAATGTGAAATTTCATCCTGTCATTTTAGCCTCCTGTAGGCTACATACAAATACATTGATTTTTCTTTCATCCCGTTTGATTACAAAAAGATCTGTCTCTGTTGGCAGGACTTTTATTTCCTCAACTGATAAAATAGCTAATTCTCACTTTGTATTTCCTGTATTGACACGTTCAGCTTTGTTATGGAAAATGAATAAATGCTATTGTTATTCTAATTTTAAAGATGAAGAAACAGTCAAGGGAAGGCAAAAAGAGTTGCCCCAAATAGTGCAGCTAAGGAATGAAGGAAGGACTGGAATTAAAAACAAATATTCTGACCTCTGTCACCAAGAATCTCAGAAGATAACAACAACAACAAACACAATACGAGATCTGACCATAGTTCAGAACTCCCGCTTAACCAGGAAGGCAACGAGTCATGCGAGGAGAGTCCTCCAGGAGTAAATTACTTAGACAAAAAAGTGGACCTGAAAAAGAGAAATCTAAAACAGAGAGTAGATTCTTCAAGTAAGAATGGCAAAAGACTGCTGAGATTTTTCTACTCACTGTCTTTACCCTCAGGCTCCCAAAAAGTAGATAGGACACAATCCTCAATCCCTAGCTTAGTTAGGAAGACAAGTAAACAAAAATTAGAGATAGTATCACTGAGACTTTATCATCATTAAATTAGACAAAATGGATGGATGAATCTTTCCCATGAAATATGAGCAAAATGAAAAAATAAAATGACATAGAAACCACACATACCAAAACAATTTGAGAGAAGAAGATATAACATGCAAAAGACCTGTCAAGAAGCCATCCTAAAAGAAAACAGTCATAAAAATGGGAAAGTGGAATCCTGTGTAGATGTTTGCTCTAGAAAAGCACTTACAAAGTCAGTGAATGTTATGAAGGACTCATACGTAAGTTAATAAAGTAACAGACAGCAATGAAAATAGAAACTGTTGAGTTAATCAGTGTACCCTTACAAAAATAATAAGTAAATGTAAATTGACAACACATACTGATTATAGACAAAGTCAAATAATTTCTGGAATAAAAGAAATGTGAAATAATTACAATAAATAAGTTAAAAAAGGCAAAAATGATCCAACATAAAGATTATTGTTCCTAAATTTAAGAAACCAAAAAATAGATCATAAAAACTCCAGAATCACTGAACCATATTTAGAAAATAAAAATTTCTCTAAAATGAGGGAAAAAAACCTGAAAGTATGAATCAAATAGGCTCACTGCTAATAGCTAACTCTAATATAGCTAATGCTAACTACTATAATGCTTATGTGGAAAGATAGACACTGAGACATGCTTTCTTTAAGTTATTGGATTCCAGTGATTAAAAAAATTCTTCATAAATTCAGGCAGGAAAATATAAGTCACATAGAAGATAAAAATCAATTAGAATAAGTTGCTTAAGTCTTTGATATACCAAAATTTAGTAACAAAAGACATTAAAGCAGTATCTACAAAATTCTGAGAAAAAACAACTCTACCTCGTCTCCTTTTTTTTAACCCCTAAATATGTATAGACCTTGCTTTGTGTATAGGCCCAAAATTTGTTTTCTAAAAGGAATGTTTTGTAATTCAAAATTTGCCAGATTTTAGAAAGATTATATGATATAATCTTATGACATACAATTATATCTATATTATTATTACATAAGCTTGTCAGTAGGCTAAGATCACATAATGACTTATCACATACATTAATATTCTTTCAGAAAAGCTTATTAATATTCACACTCAGAGAGTAAGTATATATTATAAATAGCTTTTCATCAGTTTATGTCAGAATTTGCTGCCAAATAATATTGGTTTAAAATTACAGAAACACATAAACACAAACACACCTTTTAATTTTTGAACTTTTTGAATTTCAGAATTATTAAGGATGACAGATATATATGTCTCAACCTGATAATTAAGGGCCCTGTAAATTGTGTTTAAAAAATTATAGATGGCAAAATACAACCAATAAAAAAGTGAATTAAATAATTCATGAAAGTCAAAGGCAACTACGGTAAAAGAATTAGAGGAAAACATAAAATACATTAGAATATAAAAATAGAATTGTAGAAATGGGTACTGTAGCACAAGAAAGATGATAAATTTTATAGGCCTTAATAATATAAAATTAGAATTATCTAACTATATAATTATGAGACAGATAAAACTATGGAAGAAAAGAAAAGAAGGAAAGATGGAAGGAAGGAAAGAAAATGAACTCAAGCTTACCATTATAATATAAAATAAAATAAAATTGTAGGAATAGTGAAAACACATTAGCAATCAAAATAATGTAAATATGCTCACATAAACATATTAAGTTTTCCTATTAAAAGAGAATACATTTACACATTGGTTTGGAAACATATCTAGCTATGTGTTATTAGCAAGATAAAACATCTAATAAGACCAAAACACAATCTACAACTGTACATCAACTACATAACTACATACATAACATACATCAACAGAGTGAGACTAATCATCCAGGATTTTCAAAAAGATATACCAGGAAAAAGGTAATGAGGAGTTATTCAGATTTCAGAATATTAAAAAATAGAAAAATAAACTTCAAAGCCAAATGTGTTAAAGTAAATAAAGAATAATATACCACTCGGATAAAAGTTAATTATCTGTTTCTGTCAGTCTATATATTTACCACCCATATACATTTTAATTTTCTAATTGTTCATAGAGAGTGTCTGGGGTAATGTTCACCTAATGTTAACTTAACGCTTATTTACAAGTAGTAGAATATTTCACGTTGATTCACAAAGATCTGGTAAAACAAATCTTTATATAACCTAACAAAGCATCACCTAAAAACACAGCTTAAATATTTAAAGTGAAAATGGAATAAATTAAGAGGTGAAATTTTATGATTCAAAATAATAATAGAAGATTTAAAAAATATTCTTTCAGGAAATCACGATGTTGAGACAAAACTTAAGTTACAATGCATAGATATAGAAGTAAAAATAGAGATAGATGGAGATACAGAGATACATATTTCCTTGTATGCCTTAAATACAAAATACACATTGTTTTAAAATTCACTTGAGCTATTCACTTAATGTGACCACTTAGTAAACCAGAAGAAAATTTCTACAATTTTCAAAATGCAAAATTCACAAAAATCACATTTACTTCCCACAAACAATACAATTAGAAATAAAACAAAAGTAAATTTTAAAAACCTTTGTCCACTTGAAAAATTTAAAACTGTCTTTTAAATAGCTCTTGTGTTCAAGAGTCAATCAAAGTAGAAGTTAAAATTGAAAACAAATTTCTATGACTACCCTACATATTAAATCCAATAAACAGGGAAAAAAGATAGGTAGAGCATCAATACATTTGTGGAAATGCAAGAAAGCTTTAAAATAATTGAACAAAAATTTCTTACTTAATAAACTAGGAGAATACCAATGAAAGAAACACAAAGATGGTATAACACAAATAGTAAAGAAAAATGAGGGCAGAAATTAATGAATTAATTAGAGTTGATTAAGAAATAAAAAGCTGATCTTAAATAATACGTATAAATAAATGGTTTGGCAAAGCTTATCAAGAAAAAAAAGAGACCACAAATGTACACTATTAAGAACAAGAAAAGCATAAATGCTTATAGAACAGAATTTTGTTTTCATTTATTTTTAATTGTAATATACATGATATGGAATTTTATACCAATAAAGTTGAATGTCTAAATGAGAAATATGATTTTTTTAAATGTTCATAAAAATTCAGCTCAAGAAAAATTGGAAACTTGAGCAGTAATATAGAAGAAAGTGAAAACATTGCTGCATTCACCTAAAATAGGAGCATCAGCCCGAGGTGTTCAACAGTGAGGACTACCAATCAGTCCTTTGCTTTCCAATAAACTGCGTTAGAGCAGGAAAAAGAGGAAAATGTCCCCAGTTAATTAAGAACAGCATGACTATGGTTCCAAGAATGACATAAAAGCAAAAGTTACAGGCTAATCTCACTTGAAAAGACAGAATGTACTAACTGAATTATGATAAAGTATGAAAAGATTCGATCTAGCTATACCATGTATAATGAAGGAACAACACATCATGAACTGTAGGTTTTATATGAGAAATGTAACAATCGTTGAACATCAAAAAAGTTGTTAATGTAATTAATAAGACTTACAAATAAAAGAGAAAAGTATTTCAAAAAGACTAATAAAGTTTAAAGTACATTTAAAACAATAGAACAGTTCACTAAGGCCTGGCTAAGGAGAATTCTCTAGCTTGATAAATGGTACATAAAAAAGCCTTAGCAGACATATAAATTAATGTTAAAATTATAGAATCTTTACCATTACATGCAGAATAGACACTGTTATTGTTTGAATTTTTGTGGAAGACATACTTTTCTTATAATTAAAATAAATTTTTAAAACCTGATTTATAAAATTATTACAGAATAGAAAAAGTAAAAAGGCACCAATATTAACATTGATTGCTTTCCTTTCTGTTACCATGGTTAGAATAGGGTAATTGTTTACTTGATTATTAAGAATAAAAGACTTTAATAACTGTAAGTCAATACTTTTCCATTATTTAAAACAAGCAACATTAAATAATTGAATTTTAAAATAGCCATATTAAATTTTTATGTTTGAGAAAATTACAAAATTGGAAATAAGAGTGTCCAAGTTTACCCATTAATAATAATAGATATTTTCTCTACCCATATGTGCTAATCTCTGGAGGAGAGAAGAAAATGAGGAATATAAAGTAGATTAAAAAATTGAGGCATGGAGAGATTACACAACATGCATGAAGACATACAGTTAACATATGCCAAAGCTAGTGTTGGCCTCAAAGCTCATTCACAAAGTTAAGACTTTTGTGCTTGTTATCAACTCTTATGTTGTTAGAAAAGTAATTTAATCATTTGGTTTTTAAAAATTTCCTTTGTTTTATTTCTAATTTCAAAAAGAGTGTGTGTTAATAGATTAATGTAGATGTTCTTTATTTATATTCTAAATCCCTGGTACATCATTTTTTACTAAGAATGTCCCCCCCCCCAAAAAAAAAATGAACATCAGTATACTTTTGTGAAGTGTTATGTTCCTTTTTTCCTCATCCAACTTGTTTTATCTTGGCTGGTTGTTTTTAATTGTGAAAACCATCATAGCTAATGTATAATTCCCTTCTTCTTAGTCTGAAGTAATTTTGGTTATTATAAAGTTTTTTTTTAATTATACTTTAAGTTCTAGGGTACATGTGCACAATGTGCAGGTTTGTTACATATGTATACATGTGCCATGTTGGTGTGCTGCACCCATTAACTCATCATTTACCTTAGGTATTTCTCCTAACATTATCCCTCCCCACTCCACCCACCCCATGACAGGTCCCAGTGTGTGATGTTCTCCACCCTGTGTCCAAGTGTTCTCATTGTTCAGTTCCCACCTATGAGTGAGAACATGCGGTGTTTGGTTTTCTGTCCTTGTGACAGTTTGCTCACAATGATGGTTTCCAGCTTCATCCATGTCCCTGCAAAGGACATGAACTCATCCTTTTTTATGGCTGCATAGTATTTCATAGTGTGTATGTGCCACATTTTCTTAATCCAGTCTATCATTGTTGGACATTTGTGTTGGTTCCAAGTCTCTGCTATTGTGAATAGTGCCATAATAAACATACATGTACATGTGTCTTTATAGCAGCAAGATTTATAATCCTTTGGGTATATACCCAGTAATGGGATCACTGGGTCAAATGGTATTTCTAGTCGTAGATCCTTAAGAAATCACCACACTGTCTTCCACAATGGTTGAACTAGTTTACAGTCCCACCAATGTGTAAAAGCATTCCTATTTGTCCACATCCTTTCCAGCACCTGTTGTTTCCTGACTTTTTAATGATTGCCATTCTAACTGGTGTGAGATGGTATCTCATTGTGGTTTTGATTTGCATTTCTCTGACAGCAAGTTATGATAAGCATTTTTTCATGTGTCTGTTGGCTGCGTAAATGTCTTCTTTTGAGAAGGGTCAGTTCATATCTTTTGCCCACTTTTTGATGGGGTTGTTTGATTTTTTTCTTGTAAATTTAAGTTCTTTGTAGTTTCTGGATATTAGCCCTTTGTCAGATGGGTAGATTACAAAAATTTTCTCCCATTCTCTAGGTTGCCTGTTCACTCTGATGGTAGTTTCTTTTGCTGTGCAGAAGCTCTTGAGTTTAATTAGATCCCATTTGCCAATTTTGGCTTTTGTTGCCATTGCTTTTGGTGTTTTAGTCATGAAGTCCTTGCCCATGTCCTGAATGGAATTGCCTAGGTTTTCTTCTAGGGTTTTTATGGTTTTAGGTCTAACACGTAAGTCTTTAATCCATCTTGAATTAATTTTTGTATAAGGTATAAGGAAGGGATCCAGTTTCAGCTTTTACATATGGCTAGCCAGTTTTCCCAGCACCATTTATTAAACAGGGAATCCTTTCCTCATTTCGTGGTTTTGTCAGGTTTGTCAAAGATCAGATGGTTGTAGATGTGTGGTATTAATTCTGAGGGCTCTGTTCTGTTCTATTGGTCTATATCTCTGTTTTGTTACCAGTACCATGCTGTTTTGGTTACTGTAGCCTTGTAGTATAGTTTGAAATTAGGTAGTGTGATGCCTCCAGCATTGTTCTTTTGGCTTAGGATTGTCTTGGCAATCTTTAGTTCTATATGAACTTTAAAGCAGTTTTTTTCCAATTTTGTGAAGAAAGTCATTGGTAGCTTGATGGGGATGGCATTGAATCTATAAATGACCTTGGGCACTATGACCATTTTCATGATATTGATTCTTCCTACCCATGAGCATGAAATGTTCTTCCATTTGTTTGAGTCCTCTTTTATTTCATTGAGCAGTGGTTTGTAGTTCTCCTTGAAGAGGTCCTTCACATCCCTTGTAAGTTGGATTCCTAGGTGTTTTATTCTCTTTGAAGCAATTGTGAATGGGAGTTCACTCATGATGTGGCTCTCTGTTTGTCTGTTATTGCTGTATAGGAATGCTTGTGATTTTTGCATATCGATTTTGTATCCTGAGACTTTGCTGAAGTTGCTTATCAGCTTAAGGAGATTTTGGGCTGAGATGATGGGGTTTTCCAGATATACAATCATGTCATCTGCAAACGGGGACAATTTGACTTCCTCTTTTCCTAATTGAATACCCTTTATTTCCTTCTCCTGCCTGATTGCCCTGGCCAGAACTTCCAACACTATGTTGAATAGGAATGGTGAGAGAGGGCATCCCTGTCTTGTGCCAATTTTCAAAGGGAATGCTTCCAATTTTTGCCCATTCTGTATGATATTGACTGTGGTTTTGTCATTCTCCATCCAGCTTTGTTCCATTGCTGGTGAGGAGCTGCATTCCTTTGGAGAAGAGGCACTCTGATTTTTAGAATTTTCAGCTTTTCTGCTCTGGTTTCTCCCCATCTTTGTGGTTTTATCTACCTTTCGTCTTTGATGATGGTGATGTACAGATGGTGTTTTGGTGTGGAAGTCCTTTCTGTTTGTTAGTTTTCCTTCTAACAGTCATGACCCTCAGCTGCAGGTCTGTTGGAATTTGCTGGAGGTCCACTCTAGACCCTGTTTGCCTGGATATCACCAGCAGAGGCTGCAGAACAGCAAATATTGCAGAACGGCAAATGTTGCTGCCTGATTCTTCCTCTGGAAGCTTCACCTCAGAGGGGCACCCAGCTGTATGAGGTGTCAGGCAGCCCCTACTGGGAGGTGTTTCCCAATTGGGCTACTCGGGGGTCAGGGACTCACTTGAGGAGGCAGTCTGTCCATCCTCAGATCTCAAACTCCATGCTGGGAGAAGCACTACTCTCTTCAAAGATGTCAGACAGGGACGTTTAAGTCTGCATAAGTTTCTACTGCCTTTTGTTCAGCTATGTCCTGATCCCAGAGGTAGAGTCCACAGAGGCAGGCAGGCCTCCTTGAGCTGCAGTGGGCTCCAACCAGCTCAAGCTTCCCAGCCACTTTGTTTACCTACTCAAGCCTCAGCAATGGTGGATGCCCCTCCCCCAGCCTCACTGCTGCCTTGCAGTTTGATCTCAAACTGCTGTGCTAGCAGTGAGTGAGGCTCCATGGGCGCGGGCCCTCTTAGCCAGGTGTGGGATATAATCTCCTGGTGTGCCATTTGCTAAGACCATTGGAAAAGCACTGTATTAGGGTGGGAGTGTCCCGATTTTCCAGGTACTGTCTGTCACAGTTTCCCTTAGCTAGGAAAGGGAATTCCCCAACCCCTTGCACTTCCCCAGTGAGGCAATGCCCTGCCCTGCTTTGGCTCATGCTTCCTGGGCTGTACCCACTGTCCAACAAGTCCCAGTGAGATGAACCTGTTACCTCATTTGGAAATGCAGAAATCACCTGTCTTCTGCATCACTCACGCTGGGAGCTCTAGGCTGGAGCTGTTCCTATTCAGCCATCTTGGAACCTCCTTCAACTTCCATTATTCTTTCCAAATCCCTTCTATGCCACCTCTTATACTTGTTATTTATTATTCACTTAAAGAATTAACAAAGAGTATTGGTTTAAACTTACTATAAAGATGAGCTCATGTTAATGTTTATGGGTAGATCTAGCTGAACAACTTCTACCGTAATAATGATGCTCCACTCTGTGAGATGCAGGGTACATTACCAATTTAGGGAAAGAGTTAACATATGACATAAGATGTACATGTTCCTGAAATCAACTAAAGAAATTTAAAGACAAATACTTAGATGTATACTGAATCTATTGCTAGTTTATATCAAAATAACTGAAAATTTTGACCTTTACATTCGGTTTCAGTGAGGAAATAAATTCATTCCCACTATTTATTTTACTGGATGACAAGATAAATAGCCCAATTCAATGGTCTATATCTGTGGATTGTGTATTTTCAGACCACTGACTCCACTGAGACTATAACAAAGGCTCTGCACACACTCCCAGAAAAATGCATGCACTCATGTGCACACACATGCACAGAATGCTCATGAGCATATTGAAGGTGGATCCCAATGTAAGAATTCCTATTGCTTGCAGAAGATATGGAATACTTATCCACTCCTCATGTTTTCATGTCAAGTGATATCTACTAGAGGAGCACTGCTAGCCATTTGTCTCAATCACTGCCTTATTTAAAAAGTTTGCTGATTGTTTAATGACATTTATTGAAACACATCTCTTGCTAGAGGTAATCTAGTAAAGTCTGCAGAAGATATGAACTTAATTTGCTTTGTTTGCTGCCCTCATTTCCATAGACTCTGTGCGGCAATGTGTGTCTTGTCTACAAACAGATTTTTTACCTCAGGTACATTATGTAACTGAGTAACGTAAGAAGGGTAAGGAGTCAGGATGTTGGCATGGGCAGGTTATAACAGAAGGCTAGTTTGGCCACAGATCAAAGCCTTTTGCTTTAAGCAGCTTTATCCTTGATGAAGTTCAATAGTTGCAAACTTGAAAAGTAAACATAGATATGTTATTTATTAACCCCCTTAATGCCTTAATACTTGCCATATATAGTTATATGTACAAAGTATAATAAAAGAAAAAAATGAAGCAAATTATAACTAACTATGATTTTTGGTGAGAAAATTTGTTCAAAATTTGTGAAACTTTTTTGTTCAAACTCAAGCCAGCATATTCTATTGTACCTAGGAATTTAAAAAAAACTAATTCATTTTTCTATCAATGGTTCCCATAATATCAAATAATTTTTAAAAAGCAAGAAGATACTTTAAAATTTATCTAAGTACAATATGTTTCACAGAAAAGTGAAATAAAAATATAAATAAATAATGTTAAATTATATGTACAGGTCAATAATAGTCGTAGAACTCAGGTCTAAAGCATTTTAGTTGTGTTGTTTGTATTCCTCTAAAAACTTATTTCACTCCACACAAACAAATTATGTGGAGGAGAAACTCAAGTTTTATAAGTATTACTGACTTAGTGTGGTCTGCTGTAACAAAATGCAATAGACTGAGGAGCTTAAATATCAGACATTTATTTCTTATAGTTCTGGATGCTGAAAAATTCAAGACCATATTTGGTTCTTGGTGAATCCCCTCCTCCTGGCTTCTAGACAACTGTCTTCCTTAATGTTCTTTTTGTGTAGGACACTAGTCTTATTATAGGGTCTCCACCCCCTTGACATCATGTAACATAATTACCTCCCAAAGGCCTCATCTCCAAGTGAGACCTGGAATTACAGCTTCGATCTATGAATTTAGGGAAGATGCAAACATTCAATTTATAAAACAATTACTAATTCAGTTATATGTGTGTGTGTATGTATGTATGTGCATCTGCGTGTGTATCTGTAGACAAATATTCTTTTCCATTGTCTTTATTGTTGATGTGTTGTGACTAAGATTCTTATAAACATTGAAGAGCAATTAAATAAAATTACTATGTATGTAGGCTTGGGAGATAATAGAAAAAAGTCCTAAATATCTATCCTCTGACCTATCTCTGAGTTTTCTTCCCTGTTTTCCTTTTATACTAACCTTTAGGACTGACCATTTAAACAGAAATTTTCACTCTTCCTTCTGGCTATCACACTTAAATTGTTCAATAAAATGAGTCACATACTACCACTGCATTGGAATCATATTCTAAAAGTGCTTTTGTTGTTTCTATTTTATTAGCCCTCCTGAAGCAGCACAATGAAAAAGCTGGTTTACTTTCCCCCATATCCTCTGAAATACTGGTTACTTTAACAGTTGTTAAATCCTTCAAACCACATAGACATTAAATTTTCTGCAAAACTAGAATTTCTGGTATTTATATTTCAAAAGACACTCAGGACTCCTTTTCTGTTTATAAATATACATGATTATATTTGTTATTCTTCATTTAAATTCTTTTTTTTTTTTGTCAGGAAGATTGTGGGATTCCCTAGTTGCACTGAAGGATATTTCTCTAAGTGTTGCTAATGCATTTCCACTGAAAATTAATTATCTAGTATTAATTCACATAGATACAAAATGAAACAGAAAGTGATGTAATTAGTGCAAGGCTTGACCAAAATAACTCATTCATTCATTTGTCAATCAAACTGCAATGGTAATCAAAGTGCTCATTGAGTTGATTAAACTTCTGAGTTTCTAGGTACCCATTAATTCCAGACTCATGGCCAGGCACGGTGGCTCATGCCTGTAATCCCAGAATTTTGGGAGCCTGAGGCTGGTGGATCACCTGAGGTTGGGAGCTCGAGACCAGCCTGGCCAACATGCAGAAACCCCATCTCTACTAAAAATGCAAAATTAGCCAGGCATGGTGGTGCATGCCTGTAATCCCAGCTAATCGGGAGGCTGAGGCAGGAGAATCACTTGAACCCAGGCGGCAGAAGTTGTAGTGAGCCAAGATTGTGCCATTGCACTCCAGCCTGGGCAATAAGAGTTAAGCAAAACTCTGTCAAGAAAAAAAAAAAATTCCAGACTCATTTCCACCTTTCACTTAAATTGAATATATCTCTCAGTTCCTTTGTGAGATGGAAAAAATGACTTCCTACATGTGGGGGAATTGACCAAATCAATTTGACTGTATTCAGTTTCGATGCCTTTTCAGAATTAGTCAAAAATATTTAATTAGGATATCTATCTGAGAGGCACTCCTTTCTACATGGAATAGTCTTTTCACAAAAATTTTATAGTGTCTTGTGCAATTTTCAATAACTCAATTTGTTTAACACAAATAGGTCTACATTAAAAATGTACTTATAAAATTTGAGTGATTTTTGTATGATAATTGGAAACACATAGCAAGTAAATAACATACAAAATGTCATTTATCTTGTCCCTGAGAAAGAACTAGGTAAGATCATTACTACTCCTTCATCCTATTTTCTCCTGAATTCCGCCAATGTTGACTTGAGTAGTCAAGAAGTTGGGTGTCAGCTGCAAGGCAGAATGGTAATTAGTTTAGTCATGTTTAAGTAGGAGATACTCTAGAATGCTTTTGCTTTTCTCTTTCAAATTTCTATAAGGACTTCTAATATCAATAAAGTTTTGAAATGAGAATGAGAACTATGAATTTTTTTGTTTTTGTTTTTGTTTTTGTTTTGTATTTTGAGACGGAGTCTCATTCTGCCACCAGGCTGGAGTGCAGTGGCATGATCTAGGCTCACTGCAACTTCCACCTCCTGGGTTCAAGCCATTCTCCTGCCTCAGCCTCCAGACAAACTGGGACTACAGGGGTGTGTCACCACACCCAGCTAATTTTTGTATTTTTAGTAGAGACGGGGTTTCACCATGTTGGGCAGGAAGTTCTCAATCTCTTGACCTCGTGATGCACCTGCCTTGCCCTCCCAAAGTGCTGGGATTACAGACATGAGCCACTGCGCCTAGCCTATGAAATCATTTTAAAAGGACAGAAATTGAATGTAAACATATCCTTTTCTTATTTAAAATACAGTCTTTCAAAATTTCTGTTCTTTTTCCCTACTAAATTTTGTTATTTTTAGGTATATCACCTTATGAATTGCTCAGTTCTTTCCATCTGATTCCATGAATTCAGATAGTGAATTTGTTCTTATAAGTAATTATACACTGTGATCAATTGCTGTTAACTTGATGTTTACTACAAGTCTTTAGAAATTGCTGAAGATTAAAAATATTTACCTTAAAATCTAAAAATATATTTACATTTAACATAATCAAGATGGAAATTTCTGGAGAGTGAAACTAAATAATAAATTTTCTTTAACTTTTTTTATCCTACCACTGTCGTTACACTAAGAAAAGATATCACATGACTTTTGTAGGCTTCCTGAAAGTGATAAGCTGTTTTACAAATGAAAAAGCTTTCTTGTTGAAAGAGGAGCCTTAAACTCGAACTTGAATTGTATGTATTCAAAAAAAAAAAATAGTCACTTCCCATGAGAAGGGTCTCAATCTCAGCTATTTTACATCTAAAGAATGAATATATAATAATAGCATTGAAAATAAGTCATGTTAAATTTGTAGTTCTTTTCAGCATTCTCTTATCTTGCTATTCTACTTCTTCCTTATGTTTTCTTTTTCTCTTTTGATGTTTATTTACTTTTGGTATGTGGCCTTTCCCAATACATTCACTTTGTCTTGCAGGTCCATAACAGATTTTACAGATGTTAATTTTGAATTAACAAATCTGCTTTTATGTTGTTACTTACCTCAGCTGAGGATAATAGCATAAATTTATTATTTAAACTAGCTTTTGAAGTTACATAAACTTTAATCTAACTTTTATATTTCCAGGTTAATACTAGAATTTATTATTCAAATGGAGGCTGCATGTGTGACAGGAATCCCTGTATATGATTCCCTCTTTAAGGTAAGATAACCAACAGGTGAGTTATATAAACTGTCATAAATGATATGTGCTTATACCTTGCTTTTAGAACAAGTTTCACCATTTTCTCATATTGATACAGGGGATATAAAAAAATATATTTAGGAAGATAATGAGGTTAAAAAAGTCCTCAGCAAGTCTTCCTTTCTAACAAAAAGCAGCACAAGAAATTTTTTTTTCTAACAAAGAGCAGCCTAAAAAATTGAGCTGCAAACAGATAAGCAAGCTGGAAGCTTGCACAGGTGAATGCTGGCAGGTGTGCCAATAGAAAAAGGCTACCTGGGAACCATGTATGTTCAACATGGAGACTCCATCTTCCCTTTTCTTTGTCACCACATGTACAGTAAAGAAACAGGCAACATGGTGCAGGCCAGGCAGAGAGCCCATCTGCATAATAAAAGATTGGGGTGAGGGTGGCCAGATTTTTGTGCTCTATGCAAATGGCCTACCTATCCCTAACCAGTTTTTTGCACCTTATGCAAATAACACACCTGATCCAGTCAATCTTTTGTGTCCTATGTATGTCAGACACTGCCTCCTCAAGCTCATCTATAAAATCCCCTTCATTTCACCACAGAAGCAGAAAACCCATTTGGGACCCTTCACTCTGCAGCAGAGAGAGCTATTCCCTTTCCTTCACCTATTAAACTTCCGCTCTTAACCTTACTCCTGGTGTGTCTGCATCCTAGTTTTCCATGATGGCTGTGAGACAACGAACCTCAGGGACCATCCCAGACAATGAGGCTGTTTAAAAAAAGAAGTTTATTCCTAGACTTCTCCTCAAGTCTCATGATCACCCTTGGATGATATGCCCATTCTTTAAATAGTCGCTGGCTAAAGGAATACTATAGTGAGCTATAACTATTCAGCATTCTCTTCTGGTAATTTAGAAGAAGTCCAACACAAGGCTGCCCAATATCTGAAAAAAAGTTTCTATATGCAAGAAATATGAGGAAAATGGCATTTGGGTAGGCAACAAATGAGCAATTTCTGCCACAGACTATAAGCTCCTTGAAGGTAATCTCATACATTTCTTATTGAGTGCAGTATGTAAAAGGCTTAACACAGAGCCTGGAATATAGTTGGTGCTCATCAGATTTGTGAAATAAATTTGTGAATAATGCAAATACTAATATTGATGAGAATACTAATTTATAGTCCTTGAAAGGCAGAATAGAAGCCACATAACCACAATTTCAAAGAGACTATAAGAGATGTGAAAGAAAAATAAATCTTGGAACCCCCAAATCACTAAGCGAAAGGGAAAAGCCAAGCTGTACACTGCTTAGGGCAAAGCTGCCTCCTCTTCTATTCCTAAAGATGATAGCTACACAAATTAAAAAGCTACATACCTCCCTCACAAGGAATTTCCTTGTGGACAAAGGACAGACAGAATCCAAAGTCATCCTTCTGTTCGTTAAGAAAAATGTGTATCTGATTGCCTTCTTTAAAAACGTTAATGAGAAACTCAAAAGAATGCAACCATTTGTCTCTTCTCTACCTATGACCTGGAAGCCCCATCCCCACTTCGAGTTCTCCCACCTTTCCAAACAGAACCAATGTACCCCTTACATATACTGATGTGCCCTGCATATCTTGGGGACCTCCTGAGGTTGTGTCTCAGGTGCGTGTCCTTAACTTTGGCAAAATAAATTTCCTAAATTGACTGAGACCTGTCTCACATATTTGGGCTTCACGGAGTAAACACAAAGTTTGCCAGTCACCCTGGATCACAACTGTAATCTGAGCACTTTCGGTGGCAGAGGCAGCTGATCACCTCAGCCCAGAAGTTCCGGACAAACCTAGACAACATGGAGAACCCATGCCTCTACTAAATATATTAAAATTACGTGGACGTAGTGTGCCTGGTCCCAGCTCTAGTACGGGCGGCGGAGGAACGAGGATCCCTTTAACCTAGGAGGTCAAGGCCTCAACGAGCTGAGATTGAGATCGCACCACTGCATTCCAGTCTGGGTGACAGATTGAGACCCTGTCTAAAACAACAACAACAAATGAGAATAAACACAAAGGGTATGCAAGAGCTAGATATTCTGGAACTTTATTTTGAAGTCACCCATGAGTTCAAAGTTGCTGAATCTAATGATCAGTTTCCAGTCATGTTACTTGAATCATGATAAGTATATGATACTTTAGATCATTTCCTTCTCCTTACACACTTTCTCCTTTTGACTTTCAGGGTGTTACACTCTCTTGTTTGCTTTCTCTTTGTCTCACTGGCTATTTATTTTCAAACTACTTTAATTGTTCTCTCTTTCACTTCTTAATATTGGAGTTCTCTCAAGACCAGTATGCCCTCTCTCACCACTCCTATTCAACATAGTATTGGAAGTTCTGGCCATGTCAATCAGGCAAGAGAAAGAAATAAAGGGTATTCAAACACGAAGAGAGGAAGTCAAATGGTCTCTGTTGCAGATGGCATGATTGTATATTTAGAAAACTCCATTGACTCAGCCCAAATTCTCCTTATGCTGATAAGCAACTTCAGCAATGTTTCAGGATACAAAATCAACGTGCAAAAATCACTAGCATTCCTATACACCAATAATAGACAAATAGAGAGCCAAATCATGAGTGAACTCCCATTCACAATTGCTACAAGAAGAATAAAACACCTAACAATCCAACTTACAAGGGATGTGAAGGACTTCTTCAAGGAGAACTACAAACCACTGCTCAAGGAAATAAGAGAGGATTCAAACAAATGGAAAAACATTCCATGCTCATGGATGGGAAGGACCAATGTTATCAAAATGGCCATACTGTCCAAAGTAATTTACAGATTCAATGCCATACCCATCAAGCCACCACCAATTTCTTTTTTTATTTTTGTAAACGTGGTATCAAAGTAGATTTTCTTTTTTTTTAAATCTTATTATTATTATACTTTAAGTTTTAGGGTACATGTGCACAATGTGCAGGTTTGTTATATATGTATACATGTGCCAGGTTGGTGTGCTGCACCCATTAACTCATCATTTACCATTAGGTATATCTCCTAATGTTATCCCTCCCACCTCCCCCAACCCCACAACAGTCCCCAGTGTGTGATATGCTCCTTCCTGTGTCCATGTGTTCTCATTGTTCAATTCCCACCTATGAGTGAGAACATGCGGTGTTTGGTTTTTTGTCCTTGCGATAGTTTGCTGAGAATGATGGTTTCCAGTTTCATCCATGTCCCTACAAAGGACATGAACTCATCATTTTTGATGGCTGCATAGTATTCCATGGTGTATACGTGCCACATTTTCTTCATCCAGTCTATTGTTGTTGGACATCTGGGTTGATTCCAAGACTTTGCTATTGTGAATAGTGCCACAATAAACATACGTGTGCATGTGTCTTTATAGCAGCATGATTTATAATCCTTTGGGTATATACCCAGTAATGGGATCACTGGGTCAAATGGTATTTCTAGTTCTAGATCCCTGAGGAATCGCCACACTGACTTCCACAATGGTTGAACTAGTTTACAGTCCCACCAACAGTGTAAAAGTGTTCCTATTTCTCCACATCCTCTCCAGCACCTGTTGTTTCCTGACTTTTTAATGATTGCCATTCTAACTGGTGTGAGATGGTATCTCATTGTGGTTTTGATTTGCATTTCTCTGATGGCCAGTGATGATGAGCATTTTTTCATGTGTTTTTTGGCTGCATAAATGTCTTCTTTTGAGAAGTGTCTGTTCATATCCTTTGCCCACTTTTTGATAGGGTTTGTTTTTTTCTTGTAAATTTGTTTGGGTTCATTGTAGATCCTGGATATTAGCCCTTTGTCAGATGAGTAGATTGCAAAAATTTCTCCCATTCTGTATGTTGCCTGTTCACTCTGATGGTAGTTTCTTTTGCTGTGCAGAAGCTCTTTAGTTTAATTAGATCCCATTTGTCCATTTTGGCTTTTGTTGCCATTGCTTTTGGTGTTTTAGACATGAAGTCCTTGCCCATGCCTATATCCTGAATGGTATTGCTTAGGTTTTCTTCTAGGGTTTTTATGGTTTTAGTCTAACATTTAAGTCTTTAATCCATCTTGAATTAATTTTTGTATAAGGTGTAAGGAAGAGATCCAGTTTCAGCTTTCTACATATGGCTAGCCAGTTTTTCCAGCACCATTAATTAAATAGGGAATCCTTCCCCTAGTTCTTGTTTTTGTCAGGTTTGTCAAAGATCAGATAGTTGTAGATATGCAGCATTGTTTCTGAGGGCTCTGTTCTGTTCTATTGGTCTATATCTCTGTTTTGGTACCAGTACCATGCTGTTTTGGTTACTATAGCCTTGTAGTATAGTTTGAAGTCAGGTAGTGTGATGCCTCTCGCTTTGTTCTTTTGGCTTGGGATTGACTTGGTGATGCGGGCTCTTTTTTGGTTCCATATGAACTTTAAAGTAGTTTTTTTCCAATTCTGTGAAGAAAGTCATTGGTAGCTTGATGGGGATGGCATTGAATCTATAAATTACCTTGGGCAGTATGGCCATTCTCACAATATTGATTCTTCCTACCCATGAGCATGGAATGTTCTTCCATTTGTTTGTATCCTCTTTTATTTCATTGAGCAGTGGTTTGTAGTTCTCCTTGAAGAAGTCCTTCACATCCCTTGTAAGTTGGATTCCTAGGTATTTTATTCTCTTTGAAGCAATTGTGAATGGGAGTTCACTCATGATTTGGCTCTCTGTTTGTCTGTTATTGGTGTATAAGAATGCTTGTGATTTTTGTACATTGATTTTGTATCCTGAGACTTTGCTGAAGTTGCTTATCAGCTTAAGGAGATTTTGGGATGAGATGATGGGGTTTTCCAGATATACAATCATGTCGTCTGCAAACAGGCACAATTTGACTTCCTCTTTTCCTAATTGAATACCCTTTATTTCCTTCTCCTGCCTGATTGCCCTGGCCAGAACTTCCAACACTATGTTGAATGAGGGTTGAGAGAGGGCATCCCTGTCTTGTGCCAGTTTTCAAAGGGAATGCTTCCAGTTTTTGCCCATTCAGTATGATGTTGGCTGTGGGTTTGTCATAGATAGCTCTTATTATTTTGAAATACATCCCATCAATACCAAATTTATTGAGAGTTTTTGGCATGAAGTAGTTGTTGAATTTTGTCAAAGGCCTTTTCTGCATCTATTGAGATAATCATGTGGTTTTTGTCGTTGGTTCTGTTTATATGCTGGATTACATTTATTGATTTGTGTATGATGAACCAGCCTTGCATCCCAGGGATGAAGCCCACTTGATCATGGTGGATAAGCTTTTTGATGTGCTGCTGGATTCGGTTTGCCAGTATTTTATTGAGGACTTTTGCATCAATGTTCATCAAGGATATTGGTCTAAAATTCTCTTTTTTGGTTGTGTCTCTGCCAGGCTTTGGTATCAGGATGATGCTGGCCTCATAAAATAAGTTAGGGAGGATTCCCTCCTTTTCTATTGATTGGAATAGTTTCAGAAGGAATGGTGCCAGCTCCTCCTTGTTCCTCTGGTAGAATTCAGTTGTGAATCCATCTGGTTCTGGACTTTTTTTGGATGATAAGCTATTGATTATTGCCTCAATTTTAGAGCCTGTTATTGGTCTATTCAGAGATTCAACTTCTTCCTGGTTTAGTCTTGGGAGAGTGTATGTGTCGAGGAATTTATCCATTTCTTCTAGATTTTCTAGTTTATTTGCATAGAGGTGTTTATAGTATTCTCTGATGGTATTTTGTATTTCTGTGGGATCAGTGGTGATATCCCCTTTATCATTATTTATTGCGTCTATTTGATTCCTCTCTCTTTTCTTCTTTATTAGTCTTGCTAGTGGTCTATCAATTTTGTTGATCTTTTAAAAAAGCCAGCTCCTGGATTCATTAATTTTTTAAAGGGTTTTTTGTGTCTGTATTTCCTTCAGTTCTGCTTGGATCTTAGTTATTTCTTGCCTTCTGCTAGCTTTTGAATGTGTTTGCTCTTGCTTTTCTAGTTCTTTTAATTGTGATGTTAGGGCGTGAATTTTAGATCTTTCCTGCTTTCTCTTGTGGGCATTTAGTGCTATAAATTTCCCTCTACACCCTGCTTTGAATGTTCTTTACAGAATTGGAAAAAAACTACTTCAAACTTCATATGGAACCATAAAAGAGCCTGCATAGCCAAGGCCATCCTGGACAAGAAGAACAAATCTGAAAGCATCATGCTACCTGACTTCAAACTATACTACAAGACTACAGTAACCAAAACAGCATGTTACTGGTACCAAACTGAGATATAGACCAATAGAACAGAACAGGTGCCTCAGAAACACAGCTACAACCACCTGATCTTTGACAAACCTGACACACACAAACAATGGGGAAAAGATTCCCTATTTAATAAATGGTGTTGGGAAAACTGGCTAGCCATATGCAGGAAATTGAAAATGGACCCCTTCCTCACACCTTATACAAAAATCAACTCAAGATGGATCAAAGACTTAAATATAAGACACAGGACCATAAAATTCTTAGAAGAAAACCTGAGCAATATCATTCAGGACATAGACATGGGCAAAGACTTCATGACTAAAACACCAAAAGCAATGACAACAAAAGCTAAAATTGGCAAATGATATCTAATTAAACAAAGGAGCTTCTGCACAGTAAAAGAAACTATCATCAGAGTGAACAGGCAACCTACAGAATGGGAGAAAATTTTTGCAATCTATCCATCTGACAAAGGGCTAATATCCAGAATCTACAAAGAACTTAAACAAATTTACAAGAAAAAACAAACAACCCCATTAAAAAGTGGGCAAAGGATATGAACAGACACTTCTCAAAAGAAGACATTTATTCAGCTGACAGACATATGAAAAAATGCTCATCATCACTGGTAATTAGAGAAATGGAAATCAAAACCACAATGAGATACCATCTCATGCCAGTTAGAGTGGTGATCATTAAAAAGTCAGGAAACAGCAAATAATGGAGAGGTTGTGGAGAAATATCAACGCTTTTACACTGTTGTTGGGAGTGTATATTAGTTCAACCATTGTGGAAGACAGTGTGGCGATCCTCAAGGATCTAGAACTAGAAATACCATTTGATCCAGCAATCCCATTACTGGGCATATACCCAGAGGATTATAAATCATTCTATGATAAAGACACACACACACGTATGTTTATTGCCATACTATTCACAATAATAAAGACTTGGAACCAACCCAAATATCCATCAATAATAGACTGGATTAAAAAAATGTGGCGCATATACATCATGGAATACTATGTAGCCATAAAAAAGGAAGAAACCAAACAAGAAAATGAAATAAAGTTGCTACTGTGATTGCAGAATTACTTGGAGTAATCTCTAAAGAAACCTGCCCATTTGGAGAAATGACACAATGCAATTCAACAAATAACTTTGTAGTTCCTGTGATGTGAATAACAGAGCACTAAAAAGCCTAATGAGAATCAGTCCTGCTCTCAGGATGCTTATGATGGTGCACAGAGAATGTCAGTATACAAATAACTCTAACTATAAAAGAGGAGAGAATAATCCCTAGCTCCTTTTCCTTAGCCAAAAACTTATTGCCTATTTCTTCTATCCTAAGAAAAAGAAAAACAAAACAAAAACAAACCACTTGAGCATTTTTCCCCTCAGAACTGTTTCCTTTCACCCTTTCATATTCCAAATCCTTGAAGGACTTTCTTATACTCTACTCACTTCTTAATCTTTTAATATCCATATTATTTTACCTCATTTCTACTAAAGTTACTATCTTAAGGTTGAGTGAGTACCTACCGCCATGGGCTAAGTCTTCTCTTTCTCTCCAGTCCTCATCTTCCTCACTCTCCCTGCTATACTTAATGCTGTGAACCTCTCTTCCTTCTTTAAACTCTGTCACATTGTTCTTTGTTCTCGCTTTGTTCACTTCTCATCTATGAACCATAGTAGGGCAGAATCTTGGCTTAACATAAGTTTATGTGAAAGGGTTTATTTTGACTCAAAGCACACTGAGAATCAGCAATATAAAAAACTCGTTAAAAACAGTGAAAGTTTATATTGCGCAAATACAAGTACAAAAAAAGGGAAGTAATAGTTTTTTCGTGATCTAAAGCCACAATCTATCAAAACCAAGGTATTAGGTTGAGTTACAAATTCCATGTTATAAAGATAATATGCAGTTAAAATATAATCCCAGGAAGCTAACTAAGGGAGACATTGAAAGGATTTGTAAAGCACTTGCTTCACACAATGAATGCTTAAGGATACAGGATATGTTTAGCCTGAGTGAGAGGCACAAAAGAGAACATAATTATTGACTTAGCAGTTGAAGAACATTGTATGGATGTTAGGATTAGGACATTCGGGAAGAAATTTCAAGAGAGATCTTAAACAATTCCTAACAATTTGAGATACCTAATATTGGAAACGATTATTTTGTGAAGCAGTTCAGGCAAAAGCTAAATAGCAATATATCTGAAATGTTCTGAAAGAAATTATTGCTTTGTTTGGGAGCTGAGACTAGATTAAAAGTTTCTTCCAATGTGGAAATGTTATGATTAATGAAATCATTAGAAATATATCATTAGTTTAAGCTTTTAATTTATGACCTGGACATCTTTCAATTTATGTTTCCATACCAGTATCCTGAATTTGTGGAGGAGGTGATGAAAGCTAGTTGTGCTATGAATGATTAATGAATTCTAAGTCTGATGGGAAGTTTTGCCTCAGACATGTTAGCATTCAAAGTGAAAAGTATAAGATTCACACATCACATTTGTTGTGAAGAAAATTTTGCAAAAGAGAAAGTACTACAATAACGAAAACATTTTTCTGCATATTTTTTAAGAAAACATTTTCATAAAATTTATAATTAAAGTATTTCATTTAGATTTTCAATGGCGAAAGATGAAAGACGTAAATTTGAAGACTCTACTAGAAGCAAACAATTGCATTGCTATAACCTTGGCATGACACTCCCTTTCAAAATACAGTACAGGGGAAAAAAATACAACCCTGTTTTACTGACTTTGGAATAAAAACATTTTCAGTATCTTGAACTGTTCAGCATATATGTACATGCATATATATATATATCAGGATGTATAATACATATACATGTGCACACATATATGCTTTCACATATAAATTTTACATGTTTTCATATGTAAATTCAAAGACATGATTATATGTTTTATATATATATTTATATATAAAATTTGTTTTCCAATGTAAGAGTAAACTCCAACTGGCAGATAACCACTTTTAACCTGTTTTTATATTCAGGCTCTCTTGCTTGATATAATCCTGAGTTCAAAGTCACTTTTAAATAATAACTTACTGAGTTTAACTGATTTTGCTTTGAAGTGTCTTATAGCATAAAGAATGCTATACATGAATTTTACTTTTAGGGTAATTCTAAATGTATATTGCATGTAATGAGAAGGAAACTTGGAGCATTAAGGACAGTGACTACACTAAAGGCTTTCAATACAGCATGTCTTAATAAATCAGCATGCAATTCATGAATGAATAGATCATCATGTAATAAATGTCAGTTACTAATAAAAAAGTAAGTAACAACAATTTAGAGAAAACTAATTTCATAGTAACAAGTATTCCCACAAAGGAGCATTCTTGTCTTCAATTGTCTTCAAGGAAACAAATGGTTGTCATTAGGTTGGTGTGGTTGTGTATTAAATATTGTTACTATCAAATGGTGTATCTTAGGAATGGCAGGTTGTCTTCCATGTACAGATCCTCTCGCTTATATTACAATACTGCTCAACTTAAAAATGACAAATTATCAATATTGTGCGAGCCCTTCAAGGTCATGGTTCAATTTTAACATTCATTAAGTCTTGTTTATTTTTGCCCACATTTATGTGAATGTTCACTGTCAAGCTGTAGATGAATAAGAACAATTGATGTTTGGTGTTAGACGTACATCATTAAAATCAGAGTTGGGATGAGTCATTTTAAGTAAAATAAAGTGAAGCCAGTGGAACCAGAGGTAAGATTCTAACTATGTGATCAGACAGTAGAATTTTCTCAGCCCTTCCCAGGCTCAAGTTATCTTCCCCTCCTGCCACAGGGGCTAGTGGTAAATTGCAAGCTCCTTGAAGTTTAAAGTAGAGTAATTTGGATCTTTAAATGTGACCCAGCACCTAATATACAATTTAGTGCAGATCATAGCATGATGGAATTGCAAATCTGATTTCCAAAATTTAGTTGGGATATATTTTGTGTTTTTCCTGATATTAAAGTATTTCTCCCTTGTTTTAGTCTATATCCACAACATGTGAAAAATATACAAAATTTGCACAGTAAAAATGAAGAGATATATATTCTTATTTTAGTGCAGTGCTCCATAAATACTCTGTGGCCCCAGTAAAATCTATAATAAGGTCAAGATTTCTATCGCATGAAAAAGAATTTTGAAAATATTCTGTTCTAGCACTGTCATTTTCCTTTTGTTTAAACTTTTATTTTAGGTTCAGTGGTAAATGTGTAGGTTTATTATATAGATAAATTGTGTGTCATGAGGGTTTGTTGTACAGATTATTTCAGCACCCAGGTGATAAGCATAATACCCAATAAGTGTTTTGCTAATCCTCTCCTTCCTCCTATTCTTTACCCTCAAGTAGGCGCCTGTGTTTGTTGTTCATTCCCCTTTTTGTGTCCATGTATTCTAGTTGTTTAGTTTCCACTTAAAAGGAAGAACACGTGGTATATTCTGTTCCTGTGTTAGTTTGCCTAAGATAATGGCCTCCAGCTCCATCCATTTTACTGCAAAGCACAGGATCTCATTCTTTTTTATGTCTGTAGAGTATCCATGGTGTATATGTACCACATTTTCTTTATCCAGTCTACCATTGATAAGCATTTAGGTTGCTTACATGTCTTTTCTATTGTGAATAGGGCTTTAGTGAACATATGTGTGCATGTGTCTTTATGGTAGAACAATTTATATTCCTTAGGGTATATTGTTCTAGCATAAATTGTTATAATACACCCAATTAGATATTACACTAATATCAGGGGGTATTCACTTCCCATATAATATTGTTCTTAATATCCAGAAAGCGAGAGGATGATATCACTCTTAATATGGCAGGAGGTGTACACCCGCCCTGTGATATTGTTACTAATATCCAGAAGGGGAATAAATGATATCACTCTCAATATCGCAGCGGGTGGAAATCTTCCCTGTGATATTGTTTCTAATATTCAGGAGGAAAGAGGGTGATATTACTTCCAATGTCGCAGGGGTTGTACACTCCCACTGTGATAATATTCTTAATATCCAGAAGAGAAGAGGATGATATTACTCCTAATATCGCAGAGGGTGTACACTCTTTCTGTGATATATTGTTTTTAATATTCAGAGGGGGAGAGGATATTACTTCCAATATTGCAGGGGTTATACACCCCCCCGTGATACTGTTTATAATGTCCATGAGAAAAGAGGATGATACCGCTTTCAATATGGCAGGGAGTGTAAACCCACCATGTGATATTGTTCCTAATATCCAGGGGGGAGAGAATGACATCACTCTCATTGTTGCAGAAAGTGTACACACCCCCGTGTGATATTGTTCATAATTTCCAAAGAAAGAGAAGATATTACTCCCAGTATGGCAAGGTGTGTACACCCCCTTTTGATATTGCTTCTAATATCAGGGGAGAAAAGTATATTACTCCCAATTTTGCAGAGGCTGTACACCACCCCTGTGATATTGCATTAAATATCCAGGGTGGGGAGAAAAAGATATCACTCCAAATATGGCAGGAGGTGTACAGGTTTCCTGTAATATTGTTCCTAATTTCCAGAGGGAGGGAGGGTGATATTACCCCAATATTAAAAAGGATGTACAACCTCCTTGTGATATTGTTTCTAATATCCAGGAGGGAACAGAATGATATTACTACAAATATCATGGGGGGTGTAAGCCCCACTCTATGATATTGTTTCTAATATCCAAGGAAAAAGATGATGATATTGTTCATAATATCTAGAGGAAGAGAGGATTATATCATTCCTGATATTGCAGGGGGTGTACACCCGTCCTCTGATACTGTTCCTAATATTCAAGAGAAAAGAAGATGATATTATTCATAATATCGCAGGGGGTGTTCATCCCTCTTGTGATATTGTTCCTTATATCCAGTAGGGGAGAGGATGATATTACTGTAAATATCACAGGGAGGTTACACCTCCCTGCGATATTGTTTTTAATATAAAGGGGGGAGGAGATTATACTACTCCCAATATCGCAGGGGGTGTACACCCCTCCTGTGAGATTGTTTCTAATATCCAGGGGAAGAAATGATAATATTTCTTCCAACATTGCATGAGTGTAAGCCCCCTGTGATATATTTTCTAATATACAGGGGGTAAGAGGATGATATTACTCCCAATATCGCAGGGGATGTACACTTTCCCTTTGTGATATTCTTTCTAATATCCAGGGGAGAAGAGGATGATATTAATTCCAATACCGCAGGGGATGTACAAAACACCTGCAATGTTGTTCCTAATATCCAGGAGAGGAAAAGATGACATTACTCCAAATATTGCAGAGGGTGTACACCCCCCTTTAATATTGTTCTTAATATCAAGAGAGGAAAGAAATGATATTTCTCTCAATATCGCAGAAGGTGTAAACTTTCCTGTAATATTGTTTTTAATATCCCAGGGGAGAGACGAGAATATTACTTTAAATATCTCAGGGGGTTTACACACCCCCAGTAACATTGTTCTTAGTATCCAGTAAAGAAGAGGATGATTTCACTTTCTATATTGCAGGGGGTGTACAACACCTGTGATATTTTTTCTAATATCGGGGGCGGGAGAAAATAATATTACTCCCAATACTGCAGGGGTTGTACTCACCCCTTGTGATATTGTTTCTAATATCCAGAAGGGTATTAAATAATATTACTATCAATATCGCAGGGGGTGTACATTCCCTCTGTGATATTGTTCCTAATATCCAGGAGGTAAGAGGATGATATTACTCCCAATATCGCAAGAATTTACACCCCACCTCTGAGATATTGTTCCCAATAAGAAGGGAGAGACAGGATGATATTACTTTCAATGTAGCAGGAGGTGTACACCAATTCTGTGATATTGTTCCTAATATCCAGCAGGGAGAGGTTATTACTCCCAATATCGCAGGGGGTGTACAACTTCTCCTGTGATATTATTGCTAATATCCAGAGGGAAAGAGGATGATGTTACTTTCGATATCACAGAGGGTGTACATGCCCCGCTGTAATATTGTTTCTAATATCCAAAGACTAAGAGGCTGATATCACTCCCAAAACCGCAGGTGGCGAAAACACCATTTGTGATATTATTTCTAATATCCAAGAAGGAAAAGAATGATATTACTCCAAATATCGCAGAAAGTGTTCAACCCCCCTGTGATTTTGTTCCTAATGTCGAGGGAAAGAGAGGATGATATTAGTCCCAATATCGCAGGGTGTGTACACCCCCTGTGATATCGTTCTAATATCTAGGAAAAGACAGGATGATGTTACTCTCAATAATGCAAGGGTTGTACATTAGTCCTGTGATATTGTTCCTAATATCTAAGGGGGAAAAGGATGATATTACTCCCAATACCGCAGGGGTTGTACACACTCCCTGCGAGATTGTTTCTAATATCCAGTGAAAGAGGGGCTGTTACTTCCATTATTGCAGGCGGTGTAAACTTCTTTGTAATATTGTTCCTAATATCCAGAGGGGAGAGGATGAGATTACCCTCAATATTGCAGAGAGTGTACACCCCCCATTGAGATATTGTTTCTAATATCTAGGGGGGAAGAGGATGATTTTACTCTCATTATCACAGGGGGTGCACACCCACCCTGTGATATTGTTCCTAATAACCAGGGGGAAAGAGGATGATATTACTCCCAATATTGCAGAGAGTGTACACACCAACTTTGATATTGTTCCTAATATCCAGGAGGGGGGAGGTTGATATTACTCCCAATAATGCAGGGAGTGTGTAGCCCCCCGTGATATTGTTCTTAATATCTAGGGGGGGCAGAAGATGATATTACTCCCAGTAATGCAGCAGGTGTACAATTTTCCTGTGATATTGCTTTTAATATCCAAGATGGGAGAGGATGATATTACTCCCAATATCGCAGAACATGTACACCCCCTTGTAATATTTTTCTTTATATCCGGGTGGGGGAGAGGATAATATTACTCCCAATATCACAGGGGTTTACAACCCCCCCCCCCGTGATATTGTTCTTAATTTCAGTGAAGGAGAGGATATTACTTTCAATACCACAGGGGGGTCTACACCCCCCTGTGGTATTGTTCCTAATATCCAGAGGAGAAGATAATATTACTCCCAATACCACAGGGGATACTTCCCTCCCCCTGTGATATTGTTTCTAATACACAGGGGAAGAGAAAGTGATATTAGTCTTAATGTCGCAGGCAGGGATGTACACTCCCCCTGTGATATTGTTTCTAATATCCAGAAGAGGAGAGGATGATATTATTTCCAATATCACAGGGTTTGTACACCTCCCTGTGATACAGTTTTTAATATTCAGGTTGGGAAAGGATGATATTACTTGCAATATTGCATGGGGCGTACACACCCCCTGTGATATTGTTTCTAATATACGGGGGGAGAGGATGATATTACTCCCAATATCGCAGGGAGTTTACACCCCCTCCTGTGGTATTTTTTCTAATAAGAAGGGAGGAAGAGAATTATATTACTTTCAATACTGCAGCAGTTGTACACCTTTCCAGTGATATTTTTTCTAATATCCAGGGGGGAGAGAATATTGATCTTAATATTTCAGGGTGTATACCCTTGGTTTGTGATATTGTTCCTAATATACTACAGGCAGGGAGAGGATAATTTTACTCTCAATATCAAAGGAGTGTTCACCCTCCCATTGATATTATTCCTAATATTTGTGTGGAGAAAGGATGATATTACTTCCAACATCTCAGAGGGAGTACACCCCCACTTTGATAGTTTTCCTAATATCCAGGGGAGGAGAGGATGAGATTACTCTCAATATTGTATGAGGGAGCAACCTCCCCTGTGATATTGTTCTTAATATTTAGGTTGGGAGAAAATGATAGTACTCCCAATATAGCAAGGGGAGTACACCGCCCCCAGTGATATTGTTTTAATACCGAGGCGTGAAAATGATGATATTTCTCCCATTATAGTAGAGGTGTAAATTCTCTCTGTGATACTGTTCCTAATATCCAGAGGGCAAGAGGATGATATTACTCACAACATCCCAGCAGGTATACAACTTTCCTGTGATATTGTTTTTAATATCCAGGGATGGAGAGGATGATATTACTCCCAATATTGCAGGGGGTGTACACCTCCCATAATATTTTTTCCTAATATCCATGGGGAGAGGATGATATTACTACAAATATCACAGGGGTTTCCACACTCTCTGTGATATTGTTCTTAATTTCCAGTGAAGGACAGAATAATATTACTTTCAATATCACAGAGAGTATGCACCCACCTATGATACTGTTCATAATATTCAGGGTAGGAGAGAATATTACTCCGAATATTGCGGAGGATGTACACCTCCCCTGTGATATTGTTTCTAATACCCAGAGGGGGAGAAAAGAATATTAATCTCATTATCGCAGGGGGTGTACAATCCCCTTTAATATTGCTTCCAATATTCAGGAGAGGAGAGGATGACATTACTCCCAATATCGCAGGGAGTGTCCACCCCTCTGTGATTTTTTTAATATCCAGGTTGGGAGAAGATGATATTACTTGCAATATCACACGGGGTGTACACACTCCCTGTGATATTCTTCCTAATATACGGGGATAGGAGAGAATGATACCACTCCCAATATCGCAGGGAGTTTACATCCGCCCTGTGATATTGTTTTTAATATGAAGGGAAGAAGCGGACTGTATTACTTTCAATATCGCAGTGTTGTACACATTCCCAGTGATATTTTTCCTAATATTAAAGTGGGAAGAGGATAATATTACTCCCAATATTGCAGAGTGCATACTCTCCCTCTGTGATATTGTTCCTAATAAACAGGGGATAGGAGAGAGTGATATGACTCCCAATATCTCAAGGGGTGTACACCCTTTTTGTGATATTGTTCCTAATATTTAGGGGGGAAGAGGATGATATTACTCCCAATACTCCAGGGGTTATACACCCCCCGCTTTGAAATTGTTTTTAATGGCCAGGGGAGGAGAGAATGATATTACTCTCAATATCTCAGGGAATATGCAACCGCCTGTGATATTGTTCTTAATATTTAGGTTGGGAGAAAATATTGTAACTCCTAATATCGCAGGGGGTGTACACCCTTCCCGGTGATAGTTTTCCTAATATCCAGGGGCGGAGAGGATGATATTACTTCCACTATAGCAGGGGGTATACACTCCCACCCCCCCCGTGATATTGTTTCTAATATGCAGGCGGATAGAAAATGATGTTACTCCCAGCATCCTAGGGGTGTCCCACCCCCTGTGATGTTGTTCCTAATATTAAGGAGGAAAGAAGATGATATTACTTCCAGTATCACAGGGGTTGTACACACAACCCCTGTGATATAACTTCTAATATCCAGTGGGGGAGAGGATTATATTAATCCCAAGATAGCAAGGGGTGTACACCCCTCATTTGTAATATTGTTTCTAATATTTAGGAAGGGAGAGAATATCACCCTCAATATTGTAGGGGGTGTACACCCGCCCTGTGTTATTGCTTCTAATATTTAAGGGAGGAATAAATGAAATCACTACCAATATCCTCACCTGTGATATTGTTCCTAATATCAAGGAAAGAGGATATTACTGCCAATATCGCAGGGGTTATAAACTCCCAGTACAATATTGTCCCTAACATCCAGAAGGGAAGAGGATGATATTACTCCTAATATCGGGGGTGCGCACCCACCCGTGATATTGTTCCTAATTTCTGGGGAGGGGGTGAAAGGATATTGCTCCCAATATCGCAGGGGTGGACACCCTCGCTGTGATATTTTTTTAAATATTTTGGGGGAAGAAGATGATATTAATCCAAATATGGCAGGGGATGTACACCCCCCCTTGTAATATAGTTTATAATATCCAGGGGGAGAGAGGATAATATTACCCCCAATACTGCAAAGGATGTACAATCTTCTTGTGATATTGTTCCTAATATCCAGGGGGTGAGAGAATAATACTTCAATATCAGAGGGGGTGTTCACCCCCACCTATATTATTGTTCCTAATATCCAGGGAAAGAGAAGATGATATTACTTCCATTATCCTAGGCGGTGTACACGCCCATTTCCGTGGTATTATTCCTAATATCTAGTGGAAGAGAGGGCGATATTACTCCCAATATTGCAGAGAGTGTACACCCACCCTGTGATATTGTTCCTAATATCCAGGAGAAAAGAGGATGATATTACTCCCAACATCGCAGAAATTGCACACCCACCCTGTGATATTTTTCCTAATATACAGTGAGGGAGAGGATGATATTACTGTCAATTCACATGGGGTTCACACCCTCCCTATGATATTGTTTCTAATATCAAGGAGGGGGAGAAGATTATATTGCTCCCAATATCGCAGGTGGTGTACAGCCCCCCTTTGAGATTGTTTCTAATATCCATTGGAAGAAAGTATATTTCTTCCAAAATTGCAGGGATGTAAACCAACTTGTGATATTTTTTCTAGTATCCAGGGGACAAGAGGATGAAATTACTCCCAATATCGCAGGGGGTGTACACCCCTTCTTGTGATATTACCCTTCTGGTATAATATCCAGTAGTGGATAGGATGATATTATTCCCATTATCACAGAGGGTGTACACCACCCCCGGAATATTGTTCCTAATATTCAGGAGGGGAAAAGATGACGTTATCCCAATATCACAGGGCGTGCACACTGCCTTTGTTATATTGTTCTTAATATGTGGAGTAGGGGGGAGAAAATGACATTACTCCCAATATCACAGATGTACAACTTTCTTGTAATATTGTTTTTAATATCTAGAGGGGGAGAGGATGATATTACTTTCAATATCCCAGGATATTTACTCTACCTTTGTGATATTGTTCCTAATATCCAATGAAGGAGAGGATGATATTATTTTCAACATCGCAGGGGGTGTACACCCCCCTATAATATTTTTCCTGATATCCGGGGGCTAGAGGAGAATATTACTCCCAATACCGCAGGGGCTATAGGCTGTCACTGTGATATTGTTTCTAATATCTACAGTGGGAGAGTAAATGATATTACTCTCAATATCGCAGTGGGTGGGCACTCCCCTTTTGATATTGTTCCGAATATAAAGGATGGGAGAAAATAATGATACTCCTAATTATGCAGCACGTGTACACATCCCTGAAAAATTGTTTTTAATATCAAAGTTGGAAGAGGATGATATTACTTGCAATATCGCACTGCATGTATATCCTTCCATGATATTATTCCTATTATACAGTGCGTGTGAGGATGGTATTACTCTCAATATCGCAGCAGGTGTACAACTCTCCTGTGATATTTTTGTTAATATTCAGAAAGGGAAAGAATGTTATTACTCGCAATATTGCAGAGGGTGTACAACCCCCTGTGATATTGTTCCTAATATCCAGGGGGAAAGGATGATAATACTTTCAATATCCCAGGGAGTGTGCATCACCACTGTGATATTGTTCCAAATATCAACGTTTAAGTGGCTGATATTACTTCCAATACCACAGGAGGTAAACACCCCCCTGTGATATTGTTTATAATATCCAGGAAGGGAAAGAATAATATTACTCCAAATATTACAGAAAACGTTCAACCGTCTGTGATATTATTCCTAATATCGAGGGAAAAAGAGGATAATATTACACCCAATATCGCAGGGTGTGTATACAACCCACTGGGATATTGTTTTTAATATCTAAGAAGAGAGAATGATATTAGTCCCAAAATTGAAGTGGGTGTACACCCGCCCTGTGATGTGGTTCCTAATATCCAGGGGAGAAGAGAATGATATTACTCCAAATATAGCAGGGGATGTACACACCCCCTGTGAGATTGTTTCTAATATCCGGTAGAAGAGGGGATGACATTACTCCCAATAATGCAAAAGGTGTAAACACACCCTGTTATATTGTTCCTTGTATCCAGGAAGAGAGAAGATCATAGTACTCCCAATATCACAGAGTTTGTACACCCCCCTTGTGATATTGTTTCTCATATCCAGAAAGAAGAGAATGATACTACTTCCAATATCGAAGGGGATGTACACTTCTTCTGTGATATTTTTCTATAATCCAGGGAAAAAGAGGAGAATATTAATCCCAATATTGCAGGGGATGTCCACCCCCCTTGTGATATTGTTCCTAATATACAGGAAGGGACAGAGTGATATTATAAGTTATATCGCAGGAAATGTACACTCCGGCTATGATATGTTCGTAATATCCAGAAAAAAGAGGTTGATATTACTCCCAATATCGCAGGGGGTGTCCACCCTTCCTGTGATATTGTTTATAATATCCAAGAGGAGAGAGGATGACATTACTTCCAATATCGCAGAAGGCGTACAACGCCCCTGTGATATTGTTGCTAATATCTAAAATAAAAGAGGATGATAATACTCTTAATATCGCAGGAAGTGTACACCACCCATGTGATATTGTTCCTAATATCTATGAAGAAAGAAAATGACATAAATCAATATCACAGAGGGTGTACACAACCCCTCTGATATTGTTTCTAAGATCCATAAAGGAAGAAGATGATATTACCTCCAGTATCACCTTTTGTGATAATATCCGGGGTGGAAGAGGATGATATTACACCCAATATTGCACAGACTGTACACCCTTCCTGTGATACTGTTTCTAATACCCGGGGCGGGAGGAGAGAATAATATTACGTCCCATATCGCAGGGGGTGTACACCCCTCCTGTGATATTGTTTTTAATATCCAGGGGGAGAGAAGAAGACATTACTCCCAAAATTGCTGGCAGCGTACACCCCCACAGTGATATTTCTCCTAACATCCAGAGGGAGAGACGATGATATTACTCCAAATGTCGCAGGGGGTGTACAACTCCCATATTATATAGTTTTTAATATCCCCGAAAAAAAGATGTTATTACTCTTAATATCACAGAGGGTGTATCCCCCCCGCTTTGATGTAGTTTGTAATATCCAGGAGGATAGAGGATGATATTGCTCCCAATGTCGCAGGGGGTGTACGACCCCCTTTGATATTGTTCGTAATATTCAGGGGGGGAGAGGATGATTTTACTTCCTAATACCGCAGAAGGTGTACAACCGCCCTATGATATTGTTCCTAAATTCCAGGGGGAGAGAGGTTGATACTACTCCCAATATCAGAGAGGGAAACACCACACCAGTGATATTGTTCTGAATATCCATTAAGAGAGAGGATTATATTACTCTCAATATCTCAGAAAGTGTACACTACCGTCCTGATATTGTTCCTAATATCCATGAAGGGTCAGTGTATTACTTCCAATGTCGCAAGAGTTGTACACCCTACTTGTGATATTCTTCTTAATATCCAAAAAAAAAAAAGAAAAACACGTAACTCCCAATATAAAATAGAGTGTAAAACCCACTATGATATTGTTCCTAATATCCAAGAAATAAGAGTATGACATTACTCCCCAAATCACAGGCAGTATACACCCTCATGTGATATTGTTTGTAATATCCAGGCAAAGAGATACTTCCCATATCATAAAAATCCTGTGTGTCCACCCCAGTGTGTTGCTGTTCATAAAATCCAGGGGAAAAGATAATATTACTTCCAATATCATAAAAATCCTATATGTCCAACCCCCTGTGATATGGTTCGTAATAGCCAGGGGTGGAGACGGGGGTGATAGTACTCCCCATATCGCGGAAGGTGTCCACCCCCTTGTGATATGGTTGGTAATAGCCAGGGGTGCAGAGGGGGGCGATAGTACCCCCAGTATCAGGGGAGGTGTCCACACCTCTGTGATACGGTTCGTAATAGCCAATGGGGGAGAGAGGAGTGCTAGTACTCCCAATATCGCGGGGGGTGTCCACCCCCCTGTGATACGGATCGTAATTGCCGGGGTGGAGGGAGGTGCTATTACTCCCCATATCACTGGGTGTGTCCACCTGGTTCTTAATAACCAGGGAAAAAGGGGGAGATATTTGAAACAATATCACAGGTGGGGTGTACAGCTTCTGCAATACTAGAAGTAATATCATCCTCTTTTCCCTTGAATATTAGGGACAATATCAGAGTGAGTGTGTACAGTTTCTGTGATATTGGAAGTAATATCATTTTCTCCCCATCCCCCGCTGAGATATTAGGGAAAATATCACAGGAAGGATGTACACCTTCTGTGATATTGGGAGTAATACCATCCTTTCTCTCCTGGATATTAGGAACAATATCACCAGTGGGGATTCACACCCTGTGATATTGGGAGTTATATTATTCTCTTCCCCCTGGGTTTTAGGAACAATATCACAGGGTGGGTGTACAGCCCCTGCTAAATACAGAGTATTATCATCCTTTCCCAAATGGATATTATAAACAGTATCTCGGCGGGGGGGGGGTGCTAAACCCCCTGCGATATTGGGTGGAATGTCATCCTCTCCCTGCCTGGATATTAGGAACAGTATCACTGGGGGATGCACATGGCCTGCGATATTGGTGGGAATATCATCCTTTCCTTCCATGAATATTAGAAACAATATCACAGTAGGAGTGTACATACCCTGTGATATTGGGAGTAATATCATCCTGTCTTTCCCTGGATATTATGAACAATATCATAGTGTAGGTGTACACCTCCTGTGATTTTGGGACTAGTAGTACCCTCTGATTCCCTGGATATTACGAACAATATTCCAACGGGGGGTACACACACGAAATTTACAATATTGGAAACAATATCATCTTTTCCCTTCCTGGATATAACGAACACTATCACAGGGGGGTGTACATCCAGTGCAATATTGGGAGTAATATTATTTTCTTTCCCCCTGAGTATTATGAACAATCTCACAGGGGGGTGTATTATTTTATTTATTTATATTATTTTATCTGCTTCTAGATATTTCAAACTATAATCAAAGGTTTGAAAACCTCCTGCGATAGGGAGTCATATTATTCTCTCCTCTTCAGGATATTACAAACAATACCACAAGCTGGTGTACACTCCCTGGAATATTCAGTGTAATATCAACCTCTTTTTTTCTGGATATTATGAACAATATCACAGCTGGGTTTTCCCCCCTGAGATATTGGGAATAATATCATCCTCTTCTTCCCTAAATATTTTGAACAATATCACATAGGGGGTGTACACTTCCTGCGATATTGAAAGCAACATCTTCTCCCTCCCTGATATTAGGAACAATATCACAGGAAGCGTGTACACTGTCCGCAACATTGGGAGTAATATCATCCTCTTTTCTACTGGATATTAGGAAAAATATCACAGGAGGGGTGGACAACCCCTACAATATTGGGAGTAATATCATCCTCACATTCCCTAAATATTAGAAAAAATATCACGGGGGGCGGGGACCGTACACCCCCTGCTATTAAAGGAGTAATATTATGCTCTATTTTCCTGGAGATTAGGAACTATATTACAGGAAAGCTGTACAACCTCTGTGATATTGAAAATAATATCAACCTCTTTCTCCCTGAATATTAGAAACAATATCACAGGGGTTGCCTCCCATGTGATATTGTTCCTAACAATAGGTGTACCTCCTGCGATATTGTGAGTAATATTATTTTTTCCCCGCCTGGATATTAGGATATTAGGAACAATATCACAGAAATGGTGTACACCCACTGCGATATTGGGAGTAACATCATCATCTCCCCCGCCTGGACATTAAAAAAAATCACTGGGGAAGTGTACACCTTCAGCGATATTGAAACTATCATTTTCTCCCAAACTAAGTGTTAAGAACAATATCACAGAGGGTGTTCACCTCCTGCCAAATTGAGGGTAATATCCTCCTCTCCACTTCTTC
Organism: Homo sapiens; assembly: GCF_000001405.40. Lineage (NCBI taxonomy): Eukaryota > Metazoa > Chordata > Mammalia > Primates > Hominidae > Homo > Homo sapiens. The sequence continues at coordinate 62,846,822 of NC_000006.12, forward strand.
TGGATATTAGGAACAATATCACAGGGAAGGTGTACACCCCCTTCGATATTAGGAGTAATATCATCTCTCCCACTGGATATTAGGAACAATATCACAGGGGGTGGTGTACAGCCCCTGTAATATTCACAGTAATATCATTCTATTTTTTCCTGGATATTGAGATCAATATCATAAGGGAGGTTTACATCTCCTGCAATATTAGAAATAATAGCATCCTCTCCCTTCCTGGATATTAAGAACAATATTACAGGGGGTTTGTACACTTCTTGGGATATTGAGAGTAATATCATCTTCTCCACCTCTGAATATTAAGAACAATATCTCCTGTACTCCTTCTGCGATATTGGGTTAAAAACATCCTCTCCCACACTGGATATTAGAAACAATATTAAAGAGCGGGTGTACACACCCTGCGATATTGGGAATAATATGATTTCTTCACGCACCACTCCCCCCCAGATATTAGGAACAATATCACAGGAAGTGTGTACACCCCCTTTGATATTGGGAGTAATATCTTCCTCTTCCTTCCTAAACATTAGGAACATACAAGTGGAGCACACACTCTGCAATACTGTGTGTAATATCCTCTTTCCTTCTGGATATCAGGGATAATATTACGAAGAAAGTGTACACCCCCTGTCATTTTGGAAGTAATGTCATCCTCTTACCCTCTGGTTATTAGCAACAATATCACAGAAAAGTTGTACACCCTTTGCGATATTGGGAGCAATATTATTTTCTTCCCCCCGGATATTAGGAACAACATTGCAAAAAGATGTACACCCCCTGTGATATTAGGAGCAATATTTTCCTCTCCCCCCGGATATTAAAAACAATATCGCAAGGGGGATGTACACTCCGCGATATTGAAACTAATATCTCTCCCCTCCAATATATAAGGTACAATACCACACGGGTGGTGTACACCCTCTGCCATACTGAGAGTAATATCATTCTCTCTTCCCCTGGATATTAAGAACAATATCACAGGGGAAATGTACACCCCCTTTGATATTGGGAGTAATTTTATCCTCTCTCCCACTGGATATTAAGAACAATATTGTAGGGGGTGTGTACACACCCTGAAATATTGGGAGTAATGACATTCTCTCCCTTCTGGATATTATGAACAACATAATATGGGGGTGTACATCCCCTGCCATATTAGAAGCGATATCATCGTCTCACCACAGAATATTAGGAACAACATGACATGGGAGGCACACATCCCCTGCTATAATAAGAGTAATATCATTCTTTCCATTCTTGGATATTAGGAACTACATCAAAGAAGAGGTGTACAACCCCTGCAATATTGAAAGTAGTATAAACTTCTTACCCCCTGAATATTAGGAACAATATCACAGGGAAGGTGTACACCTTCTTTGATATTAAAAGTAATATCAATTTCCCTACACTTGGATGTTAGAAACAATATCACAGGGGGTGTGTACACCTCCTGCGACATTGGGAGTAATATCATCCTCTACCCCTGTATATCAAAAACAATATCAACAAAAGAGTGTACACCCCCTGCGATATTGGGACTAATATCATTTTCTCCTAACCTATGTACTAAGAACAATAACACAGATGGTGTGCACCCCCTGCGATATTAGGAGTAATATCCTTTTCCCTCTTGGATATTACTCCCAATATTTCAGGGGGATATCACGGGGGGGAGAGGATTATATTACTCCCAATATTACAGGGAGTTTACACCCTCCCTGTGATTTTTTTTATAATATGAAGGGAGGAAGAGGATTATATTACTTTCCATATCACAGGGGTTGTACACCTTCCCAGTGATTTTTTTTCCTAATATCCAGGGGCATAAAGGATTATATTACTCTTAATATTGCAGGAGGTGTACACTCGCTCTATGATATTTTTCCTAATATACAGGGGGCGCGAGGACAATATTGCTCCAAATATCGAAGTGTTGTACACCCTTCCTTTGATATTTTTCCTAATATTTAGGTGGAGAGATAATATTACTTCCAGTATCCCAGGGTGTGTACACCCACCCTTTGTTATTTTTCCTAATGCCCAGTGGTGGATAGGATGATATTAATCTCAATATCACAAGGTGCGGGGGGAAGGAACCTCCTCTGTGATATTATTCTTAATATTTAGGTTGGGAGAAAATGATATTCCTCTCAATATCGCAGGGAAAGTACACCACCCCAGGAGATATTGTTTCTAATATCGAGGGGTGGAGAGGATATTATTTTCACTATAATAGAGGGTGTACACCCCCACCTGTGATATTGTATCTAATATCAAGGAGGGAAGAGATATTACTCTCAATATCGCAGCAGGTGTACAGCTTTCCTGTGATATTGTTTTCAATATCCAGCTGGGGAAAGGCTGATATTACTCCCAATATTGCAGTGGGTGTACACCCCGTCCCGTAATATTATTCCTAATATCCACGGGGAGAGAGGATGAGGTAGCGCTCCTTTCGCGGTGGCACTAGTGGCGGGGAGTCTGTCCCTTGCAGACCCCTAACCTGGCGACGGATGAATAAACGTACACTGACACACAGATATTCTGTTTTGCCAGTCCTGCTGAGTGTCCGACCACCTACACACCAAAAGATGTTTGTCACTGCTGGCCGGGCCCGTTCAGCTGGTACTCCAGGCATTTATTTAGTACAGAATTAACAAGAGAAGCTTTGGGTAAACACACTTGAGGATAATTAACATGGTTAAGAGAGTAGTACTACAAATGATTAAAGCTCAGGTACCGCGGTCTAAAGTAAATACCATTAGGGGGCAAGTAAGACTTAACTGGGGAAGCCTTTATTGTCTCTAGTATTTACCCTATGACCTAATGCTCTAGGGTAAGAACAGGCCTCCTTCAGCCTGTTCAATTATTATAAGCTATCTAACCTTTCAGCCTTCCAAAAAGATTTGTGACTATTCCCTATATCTTCCCCTAATATTTCTCTTCAATATTTCTGCCACCATCCTGAGTGAATCCCAACAAGAGGATGACATTACTTTCAACATCTCAGGGGGTTTACACACCCCCTGTGATACTGTTCTCAATTTCCAGTGAAGGAGAGGATAATATTACTTTCAATTTCACAGGGGGTGTACACACCCCTGTAATACCGTTTCTAAAATCCAGGGAAAGGAGAAGATAACATTACTCCCAATATCGCAATGGCGGTGTACCCCCATCTTTTGATATTGTTTTTAATATCCTGGGAAAGAAAATAATATTAATCTCAATATCTCAGAGGGTGTACACTCCCCCTGTGATATTGTTTCTAATATCCAGGAGAGGAGAGGATGATATTACTCCCAATATCGCAGGGCTTGTACATCCTACTGTGATATTGTTTTTAATATCCAGTTTTGGGAGAGAAGGATATTCCTTGCAATATTGCATGGAGTGTACAAACCACTGTGATATTCTTCCTAATATATGGGGGGGAGAAAATGATATCACTCTCTATATCTCAGGGGGTTTATAACCCCCTGTGATATTGTTCCTAATATCAAGGGGGGAAATAAATGTTGTCACTCCCAATATCACAGAAAGTGTACACCCCTTTGGTGATACTGTTTCAATATCTAGTGGGAAAAAAGGATGGCTTTATTTCCAATATCGCAGGGAATGTACACTCCTACTGTGATATTGTTCCTAATATCCAGAAGAGAGGAGGGTGATATAACTCCCAATATCGCAGGAAGTGTACACCCTTCCTGTGATACTCTTCCTAATATTCGGAGGGGAAGAAGATGATCTTACTCCCAATATCATGGGGGATGTACACCCCTTGTGATATTGTTCATAATATCCAGGGGGAATAATGATGATACTACTTTCAATATCGCAGAAAGTGTACACCCAACCTTTGATATTGTTTCTAATATCCAGGATGGGAGAGGATGACATTATTCTCGTTATCGCAGAAACTGTACACACCCCCTGTGATATTGCTCCTAATATCCAGGGAGAGAGAGGATGACATTACTCCCAATGCCTCAAGCACTGTACTCCCCCTTGTGATGTTGTTTTTAATATCGGGGGGTGGGGACAGGATGATATTACTCCCAACATCGCAGACTGGGTACACCCCGCTGTGATATTGTTCCTTATATCCAGGCGGGGAGAAGATGATATTACTCCCAATTTCTCAGGAAGTGTACACCCCCTTGTAATATTGTTCCTAATATCCAGAGAGGAAGAGGATGATATTGTTCCAAATATTGCAAAGGGTGTACACCCTTCTTGTAATATTGTTTCTAAAATCCAGGAAAGGAGACGATTGTATTACTTTCAATATCGCAGAGAGTGTACACCTCCCTCTGATATTGTTCCTAATATCCAGGGGGCTGGCAAATAAGATTACTCCCAATATCGCAGGGGCTGTACATCTTCCCTGTGATATTGTGTCTAATATCCAGGAAGGGAGAAAATGCTATTACTCTCAATATCATTGAGAGTGAGGGAGTGTACACCCTTCTGTGATATTGCTTCTAATACCCAGTTGAGAAGAGGATGATATTACTCCCAATATCGCAGCAAGTCTACAACGTAGCTGTAATATGGTTTTTAATATTAAAAGGTAGAGAGGATGATATTACTTCCAATACCTCAGGGAGTGTACACACCTTCCATAATATTGTTTCTAATACTGTGGCGGAAAGAGGATGACATTACTACCAATATCACATATTGTGATATTGTTCTTAATTTCCAGTGAAAGAGGATGATATTACTTTCAATGTCACAGTGGGTTTACACTTTCCTGAGATATTGCTCCTAATACCTGGGGGGGGGAAATAAAATATTACTCCTAATATCGCAGGGGCTGTACAACCCCCCCCCCCCCGTGATACTGTTTCTAATATTCAGGGGGGAGAAAATGATGTTACTCTCTATATCACAGGGGGTGTACACTCCCCCTGTGATATTGTTTCTAATATCCAGGAGAGAAGAGGATAATATTACTCCCAATATCGCAAGGCATGTACGTCCTCCTGTGATACTGTCTTTAATATCCTGGTTGGGAGAGAATTATATTACTTGCAATATTGCACAGGGTGTATACACCCTCTGAAATATTTCTCCGAATACACAGGGTGGAAGCTGATGCTATTACTCAAAATATCTCAGGGAGTTCACACCACTCCCCCACCTTGATATTGTTTCTAATACGAAGGGAGGAAGAGAATTATATTACTTTCAATATCTGAGGGGGTTTACACCTTCCCAGTGATATTTTTCCTAATACCCACAGGGGGAAGAGGATGATATTACTCCCAACATCACAGTTTGTGTGCAGTCCCTCTGTGATATTGTTCCTAATATACAGGGAGGGAGGAGAGAATGATATTACTCCCCAAATCGCAGGGGTGTACACCCTCGCTTTGATATTGTTCCTAATATTTAATGAGGGAGAGCATAATATTACTCCCAGTATCCCTTGGGGTGTACACTTCCCCTTTGATATTTTTCCTAATATCCAGGGGAGAGAAGATGATATTATTCTCAATATTGCAAGGGGTGTAGACCTCCCCCAGTGATATTGTTCCTAACATCCCAGTGAAGAAAGGGTGATATTACTTTCACTATCACAGATGGTGTACACCCTCGCCCCTCCTTGATATTGTTTCTAATATCCAAGTGGAGAGAAAATGATATTAATTCTAATATCAAAGAGGTTGTACAACCCATTTGTGATATTGTTTGTAATATTCAGAGGAAAAGAGAAAGATATTACTTTCAATTTCGCAGGTGTTGTACACCCTCTCCCCTCCGTGATATATTTTCTAATATTCAGGGGGAAAATATGATATTACTCCCAATATAGCAGGGAGTGTAAACTATCCCTGTGATATTGTTCCTAGTATCCAGGGGGAGAGAGGATGCTATCATTCTCAATATCACAGAGGGTGTACAACCCCCTTGTTATATTGTTTCTAATATCCAGGGGGGAATAAATGATATCACTCCCAACATCGCAGGGGGTGTACACCCGCTTTGTGATGTTGTTTCTAATATCCAGGGATAAAGAGGATGGTATTACTTCCAATATCTCAAGGGCTGTACACTCCCCCTGTGATATTGTTCCTAATATCCAGAAGGGAAAAGGATGGTACTACTCTCAGTATAGCAGGGTGGGTAAACCCTTTCTGTGAAATTGTTCCTAATATTCTTATGGGGGGCGGACGATCTTAGTTCCAATATCGCAGAAGGTGTACCCTCCCCTTGTAATATTGTTCCTAATATCCACGGTGAGAGAAGATAATATTACTTTCAATATCACAGGGGATTTACCCTCCCCCTGTGATATTGTTTCCAATCTCCAATGAAAGAAAGGATCATATTACTTTCAATATCGCGTTGGATCTACACACCCCTGTGATATTGTTCCTAATATCCAGGGAAAATAGGATAATATGACTCCCAATATCAGAGGAGCTGTATGCCCACGTTAGAAACTAATATCCATGGGGGTGGGGAGATAACGATATTACTCTCAATTTTGCAGGAAGTGTACACTCTTCCTGTGATATTGTTTCTGAAATCAAGAAGGGAAGAGGATAATATTACTCCCAATATCACAGGGCGTGTACACCCTCCTGTGATATTGTTTTTAATATCCAGGTTGGGAGATAATGATATTGCGTGAGGTGTACACCACCCCCCATGATATTGTTTCTAATATACAGAGAGGGAAATGGTGATATTACTCCCAGTATCTCAGGGAGTTTCTCCCACCCCTGTAAGATTGTTCCTAATATAAAGGGAAATAGAGGATGATATTACTTTCAACATCGCACCAATATCGCATGGGGTGTGATATTGTTCGTAATATCCAGGGAGGGAAAGGTTGATATTACTCCTAATATCGTAAGGGGTGTACCCCACTTCGGTGATATTGTTCCTAATATCCAATGGTTAAGAGCCTGCTCTAACTCCCAACATTGCAGAAGTGAACACCCCCCGCCCCCGTGATATTGTTGCTAATATCAAGGAAGGGAAAAAATGATGTTACTCCCATATTACAGAGGGTGTTAACCCCTCCTTTGATATTGTTCCCAATATCCAGAAAAGGAGCAGATGATATTACTCCCAATATCGCAGAAGTTGTACTTTCCTCCTGTGATATAGTTCCTAATATCTAGAAGAGAGAATGATATTACTCCCAATTTTGCAGGTGGTGTACACTAGCTTTGTGACATTGTTTCTAATATCAAGGGGAAAAGAGGATGATATTAATCGCAATGTAGCAGGGGGTGTACACACCTCCTGTGATAACGTTTCTAATATTCAAGGGAGAAGAGGATGATATTACTGTCAATATCACAGACGGTATACGCACCCCTTGTGATATCATTTCTAATATCAAGACGGGGAGAGGATGATATTACTCCCAATATCGCACAGAGTGTATACCCCCCCGTGAGATTGTTTTTAATATCCAGTGAAAGAGAGGATGATACTACTCCCAATATCGCAGTACGTGTAAACCCTCCTGTGATATTGTTGTTAATATCCAGGTGGGGAGAGGATGATATTATTCCCAATATCGCAGAAGGTATACATCCTCTTTTGTGATATTGCTTCTAATATCCAGGAGGGGAGAGGATAATACTACTCTCAATATAGCAGAAGGCATACTCCCACCCTGTGATATTGGTCCTCATATTCAGGGGAGAAGAGTATGATATTACTTTCAATATCACAGGAATTGTAGATCCCCCCTGTGATATTGTTTTTAATATCCAGGAGATGAGAGTATATTATTACTCTCAATATCGCAGGGAGTGTACACTGCCACTGTGAAATTTTTCCAAATATTCAGTGGGGAGAGAGGTTGATATTCCTCCCAATATAGCAACAGGTGTACAACTTTCCTGTGATATTGTTTTTAATATCCGGGGGCGAGAGGGTGATATGACTCCCAATATCGCAAGGAGTGCACACCCCTCTGTAATATTGTTCCTAATATCCAGACGGAGAGAGGATGATATTACTCCCAATATAGCAGAAGATTTACACATCAGCTGTGATATTGTTCCTAATTTCCAGTGAAGGACAGTATGATATTACTTTCAATATCACAGGGGCTGTATACCCCTCTGTGATATTCCTCGTAATATCCAGGAGGGGAGAGGATAATTTTACCCCTAACCACGCAGAGGCTTTACCCCACTTCCTAGGATATTGTTTCTAATATACATGAGGAGAGAAAATGATATTACTATAAATATTGCATGTGGTGTACACTCCCCCTGTGATAGTTTCTAATACTTAAGAGCAGAGAGTATAATATCATTCCCAATATCATATGGTGTGTACATTCCTCTGTGATGTTTTTTAGTAACGAAGTTGAGAGAAGATGATATTGCCTGCAATATCACACAGGGTGTACAACTCCCCTGTGATATTATTCTCAATATACGGGGGGTGGGGGGAGAGTATGATATTATTCCTAAAATCGCGGGGAGTTTACAATACCCAGTGATATTGTTTTTAATAATAATGGAGGAAAAGAATGATATTACTTTCAATATGGCAGACTGTGTACACCACCCTATAATATTTTTTCTAATATCCAGAGGAAGAGAGGATGATATTACTTCAATATTGCATGGGTTGTACACACTTTCTGTGATATTCTTTCTAATATACAGGATGGGGAGAGGTTGACATTACTTCCAATATTGCAGGGTGTTTACACGCGCCCTGTGATATTGCTTTTAATACAAAAGGAGGAAGAGGATTATATTACTATCAGTATCGCAGTGTTGTACACTTTCCCAGTGATATTTTTCCTAATATTAAGGCGGGAAGATAGTGATTTTACTCCCAATATCGCAGAGTGTGCACCCTCCCTCTGTGATATTGTTCCTAATACACAGGGGGGAGGAGAGAATAATATGACTCCCAATATCACACGGGGTGTACACCCTCCCTGTGATATTTTTCCTCAAATTTAGTTGGGGGAGAGGATATTACTCTTAATATCCCATGGGTTGTACAACCCCCTTTGAAACAGTTTTAATATCCAAGGGAAAAAGAGGATGATATTTTTCTCACTATCGCTGGGAGTGTACAACTTCCTGTGTTACTGTGTCTAATATTTAGGTTGGGAGAAATTAATGTAACTCCCAATATAGAAGGGAGTGTACACTCTTCCCGGTGATTTTGTTGCTAATATCCAAGGGCGGAGAGGATGATATTACTTCCACTATAGCAGGGGTATACACCCCCCCACCCGATGATATTGTTTCTAATATCCAGGCGGATAGAAAATGATGTTACTCCCAATATCGTAGGGGGTGTACACTGCCCCGTGATATTGTTCCTAATATTAACGGGGGAAGAGGATGATATTACAACCCCTGTGATACAACTTTTAATATCCAGCAGGGGAGAGAACGATATGAATCCCAATATAGCAAGGGGTGTGCACCCCCTCCATTTGTAATATTGTTTCTAATATTTAGGAAGGGAGAGGATGATATCACTCCCAAAATCGTAGGGGGAGTACACCCGCCCCGTGTTACTGTTCCTAATATCCAAGGGGGGAATAAATGATATCATTACCAATATCCTCCCTTGTGATATTGTTTCTAATATCAAGAAGGAAAGAAGATCATATAACTTCCGATGTGGCAGGGTGTATAAACTCCCACTATGATATTGTTCATAACATCCAGAAGGGAAGAGAATGACATTACTCCAAATATCGCAGGGGGTGTACACCCCCCATGATATTTTTCCTAATTTCCAGGGAGGGGGAAAGAAAACATTACTCCCAATATTGCAGGGGTGTACACCCTCGCTTTGATATTGTGTTAAATATCAAGAGGAGGAGAAAATAATATTACTCCCAATAAGGCAGTAATATAGTTTTAATATCCAGGGGAATACAGGACGATATTACTCCCAATATCGCAAAGGGTGTACAACCTTCTTATGATATTGTTCCTAATATCCAGAAGGTAAGAGAATACTACTTCAAATATCACAGGGGGTGTTCACCCCAACCTGTGTTATTGTTCCAATATCCAGAGAAAAAGAGAGTGATATTACTCCCAATATCTTAGGAGGTGTACAAGCCCACCCCCGTGATATTGTTTCTAATATCTAGTGGAAGAGAGGATAATATTACTCCCAATATTACACGGGGTGTACACCCACCCTGTAATATTGTTCCTAGTATCCAAGAGAGAAGAGGATGATATTACTCCCAATATCGCAGGGGATGTACATCCCTTCTGTGACACTGTTCCTAATATATAGTGAGGGAGAGGATGGTATTACCGTCAGTATCACAGGGGGGTTACACCCTCCCTTTGATATTGTTTTTAATATCAAGGGATTTCTCCTTGATATTATATTATAGTAGATTATATTACGCTCAATATCGGAGGTGGTGTACACTACCCCTGAGAGATATTGTTTCTAATATCCAGTGGAGGAAAGTATGATATTACTTCCAAAATTGCAGGGATGTAACCCCCCCTGTGATATTGTTTCTAATATCCAGGAGGCGAGAGGATGAAATTACTCCCAATATCACAGGGGATGTACACTTTTTATTGTGCTATTGTTTGTAATATTCAGCGGTTTCTAGAATAATATTACTCCCAATATCGCAGGGGATGTAAACCCCCTCTGCAATATTGTTTCTAATACCCAGGAGAAAAGAGGATGACATTATCCCTAATATCGCAGGGGGTGTACACAATCTTTGTAATATTTTCTTAATATGCGGGGGGCGGGGGGGGAGAAAAGGTTTTACTCCCAATACCTCAGAAGATGTACAACTTTCCTGTAATATTGTTTTAAATATCTAGGGAGGGAGAGGAGATTACTTTCAATATCGCAGGGTGTTTACACGCCCCCAGTGATATTGTTTCTAATATCCAGTGAAGGAGAGGATGATATGACTTTTAATATCGCAGGTGGTGTACACCCCCTATGACTTTTTTTAATATCCAGGGGGGAGAGGAGAATATTATTCCAAATATCTCAGAGGCTGTACACTGCCCCTGTAATATTGTTTCTAATATCCAGGTTGGGAGTAAATGACATTACTTTCAATATAGCGGGGGTGTACACTCCAATTTTGATATTGTTCCTGATATTCAAGATGGGAGAAAGTAATAATACTTACAATTATGCAGGGCATTTACACACCCCTGAGATATTGTTTTTAATGTCCAGTTTGGAAGAGGATGCTATTATTGGCAATATCGCACCGGATGTACGCCCCCGCGTGATATTGTTCCAATTATATTGGGGAGGGAGAGGATGACATTACTCCCAATACCGCAGCACGTGTACAATGTTTTCATGATATTGTTTTTAATATCTAGGAGAGGAGAGGGTGATATTACAATATCGTGTACACCCCTCCTCTTATAATGGTTCTAATATTCAGAGGGAAAGAGGATAATAATACTTTCAATATGGCAGGGAGTGTACACCCCCCCCCATGATATTGTTCCTAATATCAAAGGTTAAGAGGCTGATATTACTCCCAATACCACAGAAGGTAAACACGCCCTTGTCATATTGTTTATAATATCCAGAAAAGGAAAGAATAATATTTCTTCAAATATCACAGAAAGTGTTCAATCTTCTGTAATATTATTCCTAACATCCAGGGAAAGAGGATAATATTACTCCCAATTTCGCAGGGTGTGTACACCCCTCACTCGGATGTTGTTTTTAATATCTAAGAAGAGAGGATGATATTACTCCCAGTATTGAAGGGGGTGTACACACGCCCTGTGATATGGTTCCTAATATCCAGGGGAGAAGAGGATGATATTACTCCAAATATCGCAGGGGATGTACACCCTCTGTGAATTTGTTTCTAATATCCAGTGGTAAAGTTGATGATAGTACTCCCAATACTGTACAAGATGTAAACATTTTCTGTGATATTATTCCTTATATTAAGGAAGAGAGACTATCATATGACTTCCAATATCACTCCACCCTGTGATATTGTTCCACATATCCAAAAAAAAAAAAAAAAAGAGGATGATATTACCCCTAATACCGAAGAGGGTGTGCACTTCTTTTGTGACTTTTTTTTCTGTTATCTGGGTAAAAGAAGGAGAATATTACCCCCAATATTGCAGAGGTGTACACCTCCCTTATGATACTGTTTCTAATATAAAGGAAATAAGAGGGTGATATTATACTTTATATTGCAGGAAGTGTACACTCCCCCTCTGATATTGTTCATAATATCCAGAAAAAAAGAGGTTGATATTATCGCCATTATCGCAAAGGGTGTCCACCCTTCCTGGATATTGTTACTAATATCCAAGAGGACAGAGGATGACATTACTCCCAATATTGCAGAAGGTGTATAATGCCCCTGTGATGTTGTTACTAACATACAAAATAAAAGAGGATGATAGTACTCTTAAAATTGCAGGAAGTGTACATCACCCCTGTGATATTGTTCCCAATGTCGATGAATAAAGAGAATGACATAACTCTCAATATCGCAGGGGGTGTACACAAGCCCTCTGATATTGTTTCTAATATTTATAAAGGAAGAAGATGATATTACCCCCAATATCGCAAGGGATGTACACCCTTCTGTAATATTTTCCCTAATATCCAGGGTGGAAAAGGATGATATTACACCCAATATCTCAAAGAGTGTACACCCTTCCTGTGATACGGTTTCTAATACCCACGGGGGGGGGGAGAATAATATTATGACCCATATCGCAGGGGGTGTACACCCCTCCTGTGATATTGTTTTTAATATCCGGGGGGTAGAAGATATTACCCCCAATATCGCAGGCGGTATACACACCCACAATTATATTTTTCGTAATATCCAGAGGAGAGACGATGGTATTACTCCCGATGTCGCAGAGGGTGTACAACCCCATGTTATATTGTTGTTAGCATCCTGGGAAGAAGAGGATGTTACTACTCTTAATATCACAGAGGAAGGGCACGCTCCCTCTGATATAGTTTGTAATAACAAGGAGAGAGGATGATATTACTCCCAATGTTGCAGAGGGTGTACATCCCCACTGTGACGCTGTTCGTAATATTCAGGGAGGGAGAGGATTATATTACTCCAAATACTGCAGAAGGTTTACAACCCCCGGGGATATTGTTTCTAAATTCCAGGAGGAAAGAGGTGGTCATTACGCCCAATATCACAGAAGAGGAAACACCACCCCAGTGATATTGTTCTGAATATCTATTAAGGGGGAGAATGATATTACTCCCAATGTGACACAAACTGTGCACTACCTTTCTGATATTGTTCCTAATATCCATGAAGAATGAGTCAGGGTATTACTTTCAATATTGCAAGGGATGTACACCCCAGCTGTGATATTCTTTCTAATATTCAGGAGAAAAACACGATAAAAATGCAAATATAAAAGGGGGTGTAAAACCCACTGTGATATTGTTCCTAATATAAAGAAAATAAAAGTATGAAATTATTCCCCAAATGGCAGGAAGACTACAACCCCAAGTGATATTGTTCGTAAAATCCAGAAAAGGAGACATTACTTCCAATATCATAAAAATCCTGAGTGTCCACCACAGTGCGATATTATCGTAATATCCAGAGGAGATAATAATCCTTCCAATATAAAAATCCGGTGTGTCCACCCCCGGTGATATGATTCCCAGATGGTTCGTAAGAGACGGGGAGAAGAGAGGGAGCGCTCTTACTCCCCATATAGAGAGGGTGTCCACCCCCGGCATATGGTTCGTAAGAGCCAGAAGAAGAGAGAGGGGTGCTCTTACTCCCAGTACCATATGATTCTTAAGAGCCAGGAGGTGAGAGGGGGGTGCTCTTACTTCCCATAAAGCGGGGTGTCTCCACCCCCCACCTCATGGATCGTAGAGCCAGGTGGGGATGGGGGGTGCTCTTAATCCCCATATGAAGGGGGGCATCCACCCCCCTGCCATATGGATGATAACAGCTGGGGCGGGGAGAGGGGGTTGCTCTTACTGCCCATATGGCGGGGAGTGTCCACCCCCTGCCAAATGGATCTTAAGAGCCAGGGAGGGGGAGAGAGGGGTGCTCTTACTCCTCATATGGTGGGGGGTGCCACCCACCAACCCGCCACATGGATCCTAAGAGCCACGTGGGGAGAGGAGGATGCTCTTACTCCCCATATGGCGGGGGGTGTCCACCTTCCCTGCCACACAAATCGTAAGTGCCGCAGCAGGGGAGAGGGGGGTGCTCTTACTCCCCATATGGCGGGGGGTGTCCACACCCCCTGCCACATGGATTGTAAGAGCCGGGGGTAGAGGGGGGGACTCTTATTCCTTCTATGGCTGGGGGTGTCCAGCCCCCTGCCATACGGTTCGTAAGTGCCAGTGGGGGAGAGGAGATGCTTTCTCCCCTTATGGCGTGGGATGTCCACCCCCTTGCCATTCGGTTTGTTAGAGCCAGTGGGGAAGAAGGTAGTGCTCTTACTCCCAATATGGTGGGAGGTGTCCACCCCTCTGCCATCGTTCGTAAGAGCCAGTGTGGGGAGAGGGAGTCTCTTACTCCCCATATGGCTGGGGGTGTCCACCCCTTTGCCATTTGGTTCATAAGAGCCAGGAGGGAGAAGGGGGTGCTCTTACTTCCCAAATGGGGAAGGGTGTCCACCCCCCTGCCGTATGGTGCGTAAGAGCCGGTGGGGGAGAGGGGGTGCTTCTATCGCGGAGGATGTCCACCCACCTGCCATTAGGTTAGTAGGAGCCAGGGGTGAAGGGCGGTGCTCTTACTCCCCATAAGGTGTGTGGTTATACCCCTTTGCCATTCAGTTCATATTAGCCAGAGGGGGTTGCTGTTTCTCCTCATATGGCGGGGGCTGTCTTCCCCCCTGCTGTATGGCTGCTAAGAACCAGCGGGGGAGAGGGGTTGCTCTTACTCCCCTCCATATGGGGAGTGATATGAAGAATAATATCACTCTTTTCCCCAAAAAATATTACAAACCATGTTACAGGGACGTGTATGCCCCCCGCCATATTGGGAGATATATCACCCTTTCTGTCCCAGTATATTACAAACCATATCACAGGAAGGTGAACTCCCTCGGCAATATGGGGAGTAATGTCACCCCCTACTCCCCAGGATATTACAAACCATATCACAGGGTGGTGTACGCCCTCCACGATATGAGAAATAATATCACCCTCTCTTCTCCACAAGGGAGTGCATGCCCCTTACGACTTTTGAAGTAAAATTATCCACTTCCCCCAGAATATTACAAACCATATCACAGGGGGTTTGTGCCCTCCCCGATATGGGGAATAATATTGCCCTCTCTTTCCCAAGATATCACGAACCACGGCCCAGGGGTGTCTACGCCTTGCACAATAAGGAAATTAATATCACCCTTTCCCCCCCAAAAAAATTACAAACTATGTCACAGAGAAGTGTATGCTCTTTGCGATATGGGGTGTAGTGTCATCCTCTCCCTTCTTGGAAATTATGAACCACAGGGTGTGTACGCCCCGCGATGGCTAGAGTAATATCACCCTCTCCCCCATGGAATATTACAAACCATATTACAGGGGGGTGTATGGTCTAGCCGATCTGGGTAGTAATATCACCCTCTCCCCCCGAAGATATTACGAACCACATCACAGGTATGTTTACACTCCCGCGATAAGGAAAGTAATATTCCCTTCTCCCCACCGGGATATTACCGACCATATCACAGAGGGGTGTACGTCCCCCCACCCCGCAATATTGGGAGTAACATCAGCTTCTCTTTCCCAAGGTACTATGAACCATATCATAGAGGGTTATACGTCCCTAGCGATATCAGGAGTAATATCTCCCTCTCCCTCCTGGAATATTACAAACCGTATCACAGGGTAGTGTATACCCCAAGCGAGATGGAAAATAATATTACCCTCTCCCACACGAAATATTACAATCCAAATCACAAGGTGGTGTACTTTCTTGCAATATGGAAAGTAACATTACCCTCCCCTACTCGGAATATTATGAACCATATTACAGGCGGGTGTACGTCCCAACCACGAAATGGGGAGTAATATCACCCTCTCCACCCGAGACATCAGGAAGCATATCACAGGTCCCGTGATATAGGGAGTAATATTACCCTGTTTCCCCCTGGATATTATGAACAATATCACAGGGGGGTGTACAACCCCCCAATATGGGAAGTAATATCACCCTCTCTATTCCTGGATATTACAAATCATATCAAAGGTGGGTTTACATCCCCCCAAATATGGGGAGTAATACCCTCTTCCCACTGAATGTTATGAACAATATAACAGGGGTTGTACACCTCCCACCATATGAGGTGTAATATCACCCTCTATTCCTTGAGATATGACGAACCATATCACAGGGGAGTGTATGCCCTTTGCTATATGGGGAGTAATATAATCCTTTCCCCTTCAGAATATTAAGAACCATATCACAGAAGGGTGTACGCCCTCCGCTATATATGGGGAGCAAGATCACCCTCTCTTCCCTGGGATATTACAAACCATATTACAGAGAGATGTAGCCCCCTGGCGATATGTGGAGTAATATCACCATCTCCTCTACAGGATATTGCAAACCATATCATGGGGGGGGGGGTGTACGTTCCCCGCGATATGGAAAGTATTATCATCCTCTCTCCCCCTCCATATTATTAACCATATCACAGGGTGGTGTAAAACCTCCACGATATGGGGAGTGATATCACCCTCTCCCCCCCCCAGAATATTATGAACCATATAACGAGGGGGGGTATGCCCTCCACGATATGGTGAATAATATCACCCACTCCCCCCCACCCGCCCGGGATATTTCAAACCATGTCACAGGGGGGTGTACAACCAACACAATAAGGAAAGTAGTATTACCCTGTTTCCCCCAAAATATTATGAACCAGGTCACATAGGGGTGTACGCTCCCCACAATTTAGGGAGTAATGCCACCCTCTCCCTTCCAGGAAATAATGAACCATGTCACAGTGGGGTGTAAGCTTCCGTGGTATGGAGAGTAATATCACCCTTTCTTCCCCGGGATATTAGGAACCATATCACAAGGGGGTGTACGCTCCCCGCGGTATAAGAAGTCATATCCTCCTCTCCCCACCAGGATATTACAGACCATATCACAGAGGGGTGTACACCCCCGTGGTATAAGAAGTAATATCACCCTCTCCCCCTGGGGATATTATGAACCATATAACAAGGGAGTGTACGCCCCCCCCCACCCCGCGATGTGGGGAGTAATATCAACTTCTTTTTCCCAAGATATTATGAACCGTATCACAGGGGGGTGTACGCCTACCACGATATGGGGAGTAATATCACCCTCTCTCCCCTGAAATATTACGAATCATATACAAGGGGTTTACGCCCCTCACTATATGGAGAGCAATATCACCCTCTCCCACCCGGAATATTACAAACCATATCACAGGGGATGTACACTCCATGCGATATGAGGAGTAATATCACCCTGTGATATTATGAATTATATCACAGAGGGGTGTATGCCCCTCACGATATGGAGAGTAATATCAGCCTCTCAAACCTGGAAGATTACGAACTATATCACACTTTCGCGATATAGGGAGTAATACTACCCTCTACCCGCCCCCCCGGATATTACAAACCATATCATGAGAGTGGGGTGTCTTCACTACGTGACATGGAGAGTAGTATCACCCTCTCCCTCCTGTATATTATGAACCATATCACAGGGGGATATAGGCTTCCTGCGATATGGGAAGTAATATCTCCCTCTAGCCTTCTGGATATTACAAACTGTATCACAGGGGGTGTACACTCCCCTCGATGTGGGGGGTAATATCACCCACTTCTCCCTTCCTAGCTATTATGAACCATATCCCAGGGAGGTGTACACGCCCCAGGATATTGAAAATAATATCACCCTCTTCTCCCCCCTGGGTGTAACAAACCATATCACAGAAGGGTGACCACCACTCGCGACATGGGGAGTAACATCACCCTTGTTTTTCCCGCTAGGAATTACGAACTATATCACAGGGGTTTTTATTCCTCCTAGATATAAAAAGTAATATCACCTTCCTCTCCCATCCTGGATATTACAAATCATACCACAAGGGATTGTACAACTCCCGTGATATTGAGAGCAATATCACCCTCCTCTTGCCCCCTGGATATTATAATCCGTATCACAGGAGGTGTACACCCCCCATGATATAAGGAGTCATATCACACTCCTCTCCACCACTAAATGTTAGAAAGAGTATCACAGCTGGGGTGTACACATCCTGCGATATTGGGTGTAATATCCTTTCCCCCCTTGGGTATTAGAAACAATAAAACGGGAGAGTGGACATCCCCTGCAATATTGGAAGTAATATCATCGTCTCCCTTCCTGGATATTAGGAACAATATCACAAATAGAGCGTACACCCTTTGCGATATTGAGAGTAATATCATACTCATTTTTTCTAAATATTAGGAACAATGTCACAGAAGGGGTGCACACCCCCTGCAATGTTGGGAGTGAAATCACCCTTTTTTCTCTCTTAAATATTAAAAACAATATCACAAGGGGGTTTTGCACCCTGCGATATTGGGAGTAGTGCGTTGTTCTTCTTCCCTGGATATTAGGAATAATATCACAGGAGGGGTGCACACTCCCTGCGATATTGGGAATAATGTTATTTTCTCTCTCCATGGATATTTGGAACAATATCACAAGGGTGGTCTACACCCCTGTGATATTGGGTTTAATATCATCCTTTCCTTTTTGGATAGTAAGAAACATATTACAGAGGGGGTGTACATTTCCTGCAATATTGGGAGTAATATCATCCTCTCCTCTTTTGTATGTTTTAAACAATAACAAAGGGGGGTGTATACCACTTGCGATATTGGGAGTAATATCATTTTCTCTTCCCTGGACATTAAGAACAACATCACAGGAAAGTGTACACTCCCTGAAATATTAAGAGTAATATCACACTTTTACTTCTGGATATGATGAACAATATCACAGGGAGGCGTACGGCCCCTTCGATATTTGGAGTAATATTATCCTATTTTTTCCCTTGATATAACAAACAATATCACAGTGGGGTGTACTCCCTCTGCGATTGCGATATTGCGAGTAATATCATCTTCTCCCACCCTGGATATTATGAACAATATCACAGAGGGTAGTACAGCCCCAGAGATATTGGGAACGATATCATTCTCTCTCCTCACCCCAAATATTACAAACAATATCACAGGGGAGTGTATACCCTCTGAGATATTAAGAGTAATATCACCCTCTCCCCTTTGGAATATTACAAAAATATCACATGGAAATGTACTCCCCCTTCAATATTGAGTGTAATAGCATCCTTTCCTCTTCTTGATATTACAAACAATATCACAGTGGGGTAAACACATCCTGAGATAGTGGGAGTAATATTATCCTCTCCCCTCTTGGATATTAGGAACAATATCAAAGGGTAGGTGTACACCCCTTGCGATATTGTGAGTAATATCATCATCTCCCCCTCTTGAATATTAGGAACAATATTACAAAAATGTGTACACCCTTTGGAATATTGGGAGTAATATCATACTCTTTCCCCCTTAAATATTAAAGACAATATCAGGGAGGGGTATACACCCTGCGATATTGAAAGTAATATCTTGTTCTTTTTCCCTGGATATTAGGAACAATATCACAAGAGGTGTGTTTGCCTCCTACGATATTGGGAGTAATATCATTTTCTCTTTCCATGTATATTTCAAACAATATCATAGGGGTTGGTGTACACTCCCTGTGATATTGAGATTAATATTATTCTTTTAGAACAATATTCCAGGGGGTGCACACTTCCTGAGATACTGAGAGTAATATCATCTTCTCCTCTTTTAGTTATTTTGAACAATATTAAAGGGGGGTGTACACCCCCTGCGATATTGAAAGTGATATCATTTTCTCTTTTTTGGTTCTTACACACAACATCAGAAGGGAGTGTACACTCCCTGGGATATTGGGAGTAATATCATCGTTTTTCCTTCTAGATATTAGGAACAATATC
Source organism: Homo sapiens (assembly GCF_000001405.40). Lineage (NCBI taxonomy): Eukaryota > Metazoa > Chordata > Mammalia > Primates > Hominidae > Homo > Homo sapiens. The sequence goes on from NC_000006.12 coordinate 62,866,867, forward strand.
ACAGTGCTGTGTACAGCCCCTTCCTTATTTAGAGTAACATTATCCTCTTTTTCCCTGGATATTGCAAACAATATCACAGTGGCGTGTACACCCCCTGCGATACTGCGAGAAATATCATCTTCTCCCACCCTTTATATTACAAACAATATCACAGAGGAGGCTACGGCCCCTGCGATATTGAGAATGATATCATCCTCTACACCCCTAAATATTATGAAAAATATCACAGGGGGGTGTACACACTCTGCGATATTAAGAGTAATATCATTCTCTCCCCTTCTGGATATTACAAAAAAATCACATGAAGATGTACTCCCCCTTTGATATTGAGAGTAATATCATCCTCTCTACTTCTTGATATTACAAACAATATCACAGGAGGGTGCACACCCACTGCGATTTTGGGAGTCATATCGTCATCTACCCTTGTGGATATTAGGAACAATATCACAGCTAGTGTACACTCTTTGCGATATTGGGAGTAATATCATCTTGTCCCCTCTTTAGTATTATGAACAATATCACAGGAAGGTGGACACCTCCTGTGATACTTGAAGTAATATCATTCTCTTCCCCTCTGTATATTATGAACAATATCACAGGGGAATATACACCTTCTGCGATATTAGGAGAAATATCATTCTCTTTTTTTCTGAATATTACAAAAAATATCACAGAGGGGTGTACACCCCCTGAGATATTGGGAGTAACATCATCCTCTCCCGTTCTGGATATTACAAACAATATCACAGCAAGGTTAAACTCCTGCGACATTAAGAGTAAAAACATCCTCTCCCCACTCTGAATATTATGAACAATATCACAGGGGGGTGTATGGCCTCTGTGATATTAGGAGTAATATCATCCTCTTTCCCCCTGGATATTACAAACAACATAACTCGGAGTGTACAACCCTTGCGGTATTTGGAGTAATAATATTCTCTAACACCTAAATATTACGAAAAATATCCCAAGGTGGTGTACACACTTTGCGATATTGAGAGTAATATCATCTTTTCCCCCAATAGAAATTACAGATAGTATTACACGAGGGGTGTAAACCCCCTATGATATTGGCAGTAATATCATCCTCTTATTCTTGAATATTAGGAACAATATTCCCAGGAAGAGTGAACACCTCCTGTGATATTGAAAGAAATATCTTATTTTCTCTCCCTGAATATGAAAAACAATGTCACAGTGGGTGTACACGCTCTGCGATATTGGGAGTAATAGTCTCTCTCCCCCTTGGTATTAGGAACCATATCACAGGGGACTGTACTCGCCCTACGATATCCTTTCACCTTTTTGATATTACAACTAATATCACAGAGAGGTGTACTTTTCTTGCAATATGGGGATTAATATCACTCTCTCCCCCACGGGATACTATGAATCATATCACAGGTGTATGGAACCTTCTCCGCGATATGGGAGTAATATCACCATCTTTTCCCCAGGATATTACAAACCACATCACAGCGGGTGTACTCCCTTTTCAATATGAAGAGTAATGTGACTCTCTCTTATTCAAGGTATTATGAACCATATCACAGAGGGGTGTACGCTCCCTGAGATATGGGGAATAATATCACTCTCCCCTCCTCTTCTGAATATTACAAACCATGTCACAGAATGGTGTACACCCCTGTTATATGGGGAGTAATATCAACATCCTCTCCCCCTCTGGATATTATGAACCATATCACAGGGGGGTGTACGACCCCCGCGATATGAGGAGTAATATTCTCCTCTTCCCCCAGGAATGTTATGAAACATATCACAGGGGGTTGTATGCCCCTGCGATTTGGGAAGTAATAACATCTTCTCCTCCTTTTCTGGATATTACCAACCATAACACAGGGGGGCTTATGCCCTTCAAGAATGAAAAGTAATGCCATCCTCTTTTTCCCCCTTTGGATATTAGAAACCGTATCACAGGGGTCTTACACCCCCCTGTGATATAGGAAGTAATATCACCCTACTCTCCCGTCGGATATTAAAAACCATATCACAGGAGGGTGTACGCTTCTGCAATATGGGGAGTATAATCACCGTCCTTTCCTCCTCTGGATATTATAAACCATATCACAAGGAGTGTGTATCCCCTCCTCGATATGGGGAGTAATATCACCCTCTCCCCCACTGGATATTATGAACTATATCACAGGAAGGTGGACACCCTCTGCAATATGGAGAATAATAGCACCCTTCTTCCCCCCCTGCATATTATGAACAATATCAAAAGGGGTGTGTACATCACACACCTCAACCCCGCTGGATATTAAGAAACATATCACAAGAGGTGATATGGTTTGTAGTATCCAGACGGGGAGATGATGATATTACTCTTAATATCGCAAGCGTTGTACCACCCACCCCATGATATGGTTCGTAATATCCAGGGGGGAGGCAATGACATTACTCTTGATATCGCAGGGGGTGTACACCCCCCTGTGATATTGTTTGTAATATTAAAGATGGGAGAGTATAATATTACTTGCAATATTGCAGGGGGTGTATACCCCCTTGTGATATTGTCTGTAATATCCAGAAGGAAAGAGGATGATATTACTCCCAATATCCCAGGGAGTGTACACCTTCATTTGAAGTTGTTTTTAATATGCAGGGTGGGAGAAGATAATATCACTTTCAATATCGCAGGGGCTGTACACCCCCTTCTGATATTGTTCATAATATCCATGGAGAAAGAGGACGATATTACTCCCAATATCTTAAACACCCTATGTGTACACCACCCTACTATATCGCTGGTAATTTCTGGGGGGTGAGGTTGATATTACTCCCAATATCACAGAAGGTACACACCCCGCTGTGATATTGTTCATAATATCCAGGAAAAAAGAAGATGATACTACTTCCAATATTGCAGGGCGTGTACACTTCCCTGTGATATTGTTCCTAATATACAAAGAAGGAGACGATATTACTTCCAATATCACAGGCTGTGTACATCCCCCTGTGATATTGTTCCTAATATCCAGAGGGCGAGAAGATATTACCCCCAATATCACAGGAAGGTATACACAGCCCATGATATGGGGAGTAATATCACCCTTCTCTCCTCTTCTAGATATTACAAACAATTTTTATGGGATATTGTTTCTAATATCCAGGTGTAAAAAAAAATGATATTACTTCCAATATTGCAGGGGTTGTACACCACTCCAATGACATTATTCCTAATATCCACGGGGGAAGAGGATGATATTATTGCCAATATTGCAGGGGGTGTAAACCCCCCTCTTATATCGTTCTTAATATCTGGGAGGTAGTGGTTGATATTACTCCCAATATCGCAGAAGGGATACAACGCGCCTGTAATATTGTTTCTAATATCCACGGAGAGAAGGGATATATTTCCCAAAATAGAAAGGAATGTACACCCCTTCTGTTATATTGTTCCTAATATACCGGGCATGAGGAAATGATATTACTCTTAACATCACAGGGAGTGTACACCCCCACTTTGGTAATGTTCACAGTATCCAGGGGAAGGGAGGATGATATTACTCCCAATATCACAGGGGATGTACATCTTCCCTGTGATATTGTTCCTGATACCCAGGAGGGGAGAGGATGATATTACTGGCAATATCGCAGAAGGTATACAACCCCCCTGTGATATTGTTCCTAATATCCAGATGGAAAGAGGAAGATATTACTTTCAATATCGCAGGGAGTATACATTCCCCATGTGATGTTGTCTCTAATATCAAAATTTAAGAGGCTGGTATTACTCCCAATACCATAGCGAGTGAACAACCCCCATGATATTGTTTCTAATATCCAAAAAGGAAAAGAAGGATATTACTCCAAATGTCTTAGGAAGTGTTTAATTTCCTGTGACATGATTCCTAAAATATTGGAAAAGTGAGAATAATAGTACTCCCAATATCGAAGGGTGTGTACTCCCCCTAATGTCATTTATTTCCTAAAATCTAGGAAGAGAGAATAATATTGCTTCCAATATTGCAGGAGGTGTACATCCGACTTTTGATATTGTTCCTAATATCAAGGGGGAAAGAGGATGATATTACTTTGAATACCGCAGAGGATGTACACACCCATTGTGTTTCTAATATCCAGTGAAAGAGGAGATGATATTACTACCAATATCGCAGATGCCATAAATTCCTCTGTGATATTGTTCCTAATATCCAGGAGGAAAGAGGATGATATTACCACCAATGTTGCTGGGAGTGTACATACTCCCTTGTGATATTGTTTCTACTATCTAGGGAAAGAGAGGATTATATTATTCTCAATATTGCAGGGGGTTGTAACAGCACCCTGTGATATTTTTCTAACATCCAGGGAGGAAGACAATGATATTACTCCCAATATGGCTGAGAATGTACACCTGTGATATTGTTCTTAATATCCAGAAGGAAAGAGGATGATATTACTCCCAATATCGCAGGGGGTGTACACGCCCCCTGTGATATTGTTCCCAATATCCGGGGGATGAGAAGATGATATTACTTCCAATATCTATCCTAGCAGTTGTACAACTTTTCTGTAATATTGCTGTTAACATCAAGGGGGGGGAGGGTGATATTATTCCCAATATTGCAGGGGGTGCACAACCCCCATGTAATATTGTTTCTAATATTCATGGGGGAATTGGGTGATATTACTTCTAATGTCACAGGTGCTGTACGCCCCTCCCCCCCAGATATTGTTTCTAATATTGAGTTATGGAGAAAATGATATTACTCTCAATATCGCAGGAGATGTACATTTTTCCTGTTATATTGTTTCTAATATCCAGGAAAGGAGAGGATGATATTACTCCCAACATAGAAGGGCATGTACCTCCCCATATGATATTGTTTTTAACATTTATGTTGGGAGATGATAATATTACTTGCAATATCCCACAAGGCGCACACACACTCTGTGATATTGTTAATATACAGAGAAGGAGAGAATGATATTACTTTTAATATAGCAGGGAATTTAACCTGCCCTGTATAATTTTTTATAATATAAGGGAGGAAGAGAATTATATTTCTTTGAATATCACAGTGGGTGTATAACTTCTTAGTGATATTATTTTTGATATCTGGGGAGGAGAGGATAATATTACTCTTAATATCACACACTCTCTCTGTGATATTATTCCTAAATTACAGGGAAGAATAAAGAATGATATTACTCCCAATATCACAGGAGTGTACACCCTCCGTTTAATATTGTTTCTAATATTTAGAAAGAAACGGAATGATATTACTTCCAATATCACAGGAAATGTACAACCCCCTTTGATATTTTTCCTTATATCCAGGTGAGGAGAGGATTATATTACTCTCAATATCACAGCAGAAGATGTACACCTCCCGTGTGATATTGTTCTTAATAGTTTGGGAGAAAATTATATTACTCCCAATATCGCAGGTGGTGTACACCCTTTCCGGTGATATTGTTCCTAATATCCGTGGGGGAGAGGAAAATACTACATCCATTATCTCAGGAGGTGTACATCCCCCCTGTGATATTTTTCCTAGTATCCAGAGTGGAAGAGGATGATATTACCTTCAATATTGCAGCAAGTGTACAACTTTTCTGTGATATTGTTTTTAATATCCACAGGGGGAGAGGATGATATTACTCCCAATATTGCAAAGGGTGTACACCCCCACTATAATATTGTTCCTAATATTCAGTGTGGAAGAGGATGATATTACTACCAATATCACAGGGAGCTTACACATGCCCTGTTATATTGTTTTTAATTTCCAGTGAAGGAGAGAATGATATTACATTTAATTTTTCAAGAGGTGTTACAACCCCCTTTCAATATTGTTCATAATATCCATGGAAGGAGAATATAATATTACTCCCAAAATCGCAGGTGTCATACACGGCCTTACTCCGTGATACTGTTTCTAACATCCCGGTTGGGGGGAGAAAATAATATTATTCTCAATATCGCAGGGGATGTACCCTTTCCCTGTGATTTTTTTTTAATATTCAGGAGAGAAGAGGATGACATTACTCCCAATATCGCAGAACGTGTACACCCCGCTGTGATACTGTTTTTAAAAACCAGGTTGAGAAAGGATGAGATTACTTGCAATATCTCACAAAGTGTACACACACTATGTGATACTGTTCCTAATATACAGAGGCAGAGATTATGATTTCACTCCCAATATCGCAGGGAGTTTACATGCCCACCCCTGTAATATTGTTTCTAATATGGAGGAAGGAAGAGGATTATATTATTTTCAATATCGCAGGGGGTGTACACATTCCCAGTTATATTTTTTCTAATATCCAGGTGTGGAGAGGATGATATTACTTTTAATATCTTGGGGGGTGTATCCCGCCTCTGTGATATTGTTCCTAATATAAAGAGTGGGGAGAGGATAATATTACTCCCGATATGGCAGGCATATACAGCCTTTCTTTGATATTGTTTCTACTATTTAGAGGGAGAGAGGATTATATAGCTTTCAACATCCCAGGGGCTTCCTCCTCACATTGATACATTTCCTAATATCCAAGAGAGAAGATAATAATATTACTCTCAATATCGCAGGGGATATCCACCTCCCCTGTGATATTATACTTAATATTTAGGTTACGAGAAAATAATATTACTCCCAATATCACAGGGGGTGTAATATCATCCTCTCATCAAGTAATATTATCCTCTCCCATACTGGATATTAGGAACAATATCACAGAGGTGGGGTGTACTTCCCCTGTGATATTGTTGCTAATATCCAGTTTGGAAAAGGATGATATTACTACAAATATCACAGCAGGTGTACAAGTTTCCTGTGATATTGTTTTCAATATCAAGGAGGAGAGATTGATATTAGTCCCAATATCGCAGGAGGTGTGCATTCCCCTCCCATAACATTGTTTCTAATGCTGTGGTGGAGAGATGATATTACTACCAATATCACAGGTAATTTAAACACCTCCTGTGATATTGTTCTTAATTGCCAGTAAAGAAGATGATATTACTTTCAATATCATAGAGGGTGTAAACCACCCTGTGATATTGCTTCTAATATCCAGGGGTGGAGAAAATAATATTACTCCCAATATTGCAGGGGCTGTTACTCCTCCTATATTGTTTCTGTTATCTGGTGTGGGGGGAGCAAAATGATATTAGTATCAATATCGCAGAGGGTGTACGCTTTCCCTGTGATAGTCTTTCTAATACCCAGGAGAGGAGAGGATGATATTACTCCCAATATCAGAGGGCGTGTACACACACCCCTGTGATATTGTTTTTAATATCCAGGTTGAAATAAAATATTACTTGTAATATCAAACGAGGTGTACACACCCTCTGTGATATTGTTTCTAATATAGAGGGTGGTAAATGATGACGTTACCCCCAATATCACAGGGAATTTACACCACCCCCGGGATACTGTTTCTAATGGGAAACAAGGAAAAGGATTATATTAATTTTAATATAGCAGAAGGTGTACACCTTCCCAGTGATTTTTAAAAATATTTAGTGGAGGAAGTGTTGATATTACTTCCAATATCCCAGGGGGTGTACACTTCCCCTCTGATATATATTTTTTTAATGTCCAAAGGAGTAGAGGATGATATTACTCTCAATATCGCAGATGGTGTACAAGCCCCCTGTGATATTGTTCTTAATATTTAAGTTCAGATAAAATGATATTACTTTCAATATTGCAAGGGTTTTACCCACCCTGGTGATATTGTTTCTAATGTCCAGGGGCAGAGAGGATGATGTTACTCCAACTATCACAGAAGGTGTACGACCCCCTGTGATATTGTTTCCAATATGCAAGCGGGGAGAAAATGATATTACTGAAGGGGGTGTACATCCCCTTTGTGATATTGTTCCTAATATCCAGGGGGGAAAGAGGGTGATACTGTTTTTAATATCCCAGGGGATGTACATACCTCCTGCTACATAGCTTCTAATATCCAGGGAGAAAGAAGACAATATTACTCCAAATATAGCAGGGGAGTGTAAACTACCCCTGTGATATTGTTCCTAGTATCCAGGGAGAGAGAGGATGATATCATTCCCAATAACGGGTGTACCCTTTGATATTGTTCCTAATATTCAGGTGTGGAATAAATAATATCACTCCGAATAACGCAGGGGGTGTACACCCTCTTTGTGATATTGTTCGTAATATCCAGGGTGGGGTGGAAAAGAATGGTATTACTTCCAATATCTCAAGGAGTGTACACTCCCACTGTGATATTGTTCCTAATATTCAGAAGGGAAGAGGATGATATTACTCCCAATATCGCAGGGGGTGTACACATTTTCTGAGATATTGTTCCTAATATTCAGAGGGGGAGAGGATGATCTTACTCCCAATATCGCGGGTGAGCTACACCTTCCCTGTAATATTGTTTTTAATATCCAGTGGAGAAGAGGACGATATTAATCCCAATAATGCAGGGGGGTTACACACCCACTGTGATATTGTTTTTAAAATCCAGTTAATAAGCGAATGATATTACTTTCAATATCACAGCGGGTGTACACCCCTCTATGATATTGTTCCTAACATCTAGTGGCAGAGAGGATAATATGACTACCAATATTGGAGGAGCTGTGCAGCGCCCCCCTGCCCGTCATATTGATTCTAATATCCAAGGAGGGAGACAATAATATTACTCTCAATATCACAGAAAGTGTACATTCTTCTTGTGGTATTTTCCCAAATATCATTAAAAGCAGAAAATAATATTATTCCCAATATCGCAGGGTGCGTACACTCCCCTATGATATTGTATTTAATATCCAGTTTGGGAGATGACGATATTGCTTGCAATATCGCAACGGGTGTACACCCTGTGATATTGTTCTTAATACAGAGAAGAGAAGAGGACGATATTACTTTCAATATCACAGGGTGTTCACACCCCCCGTGATATTGTTCCTAATACAAAGGGAGAAAAAATGATATTACTTTCAATGTCGCAGGGGGTGTACACCACTTCTGTGATGATATTCCTAATATCCAAGGAGAAAGAGGAAGATTTTACTACCTAGATCGTAGAGGGTGTACAGTTCTTCAGTAATATTGTTCCTAATATCCAAAGGTTAAGAAGCTGCTATTGCTCCCAATATCACAGAAGTGAACACCCCCACCCTGTGATATTGTTGGTAATATCCAGGAAGGGAAAGGATGATATTAATCCAATATCACAGAGGGTGTGAACGTCCCCTTTGATATTGTTCTTAATTAAAACGAAAAGAGCGGGTGATTTTACTCCCAATATCATAGGTAGTGTACATCCTTCCTGGGATATAGGTCCTAGTATCTAGAAGAAGAGATGATGATATTACTCTCAATACTGCAGGGGGTGTACGCCCACTTTGTGATATTGTTCCTAATATCAAGGGGGCAATAGGATAATATTACTCGCAATATCGCAGGGGATGTACACGCCTCCTGTTATATTGTTCCTAATACACAGGGAAGATAAGGATGATATTACTGTCAATATCACAGAGAGTTTACATGCCCCCTGTGATATTGTTCCTAATATCAAAATGGGGAGAGGACGATATTACTGCCAATATCTCAGGGTGTGTAAACACCCCTTGTGAGATTGTTTCTAATATCTACTGGAAGATAGGATGATATAACCCCCAATATTGCAGGAGGTGTAAACCCTCCTTTGATATACTTCTTAATATCCAGGCGGTAAGAGGAGGATATTACTCACAATACTGCAGGGGGTGTACACCCCCCTTTGTGATATTGTTTTTAATATCCAGAAGGAGAGAGTATAATATTACTACTCTCAATATCGCAGGGGATGTACACTCACTCTGTGAAATTATTCCTAATATTAATGGGAGACGAGGATGATATTATTCCCAATATCGCAGGAAGTGTAGACCCCTCCCATGATATTATTCCTAATATTTAGGAGGGAAGAGGATGATATTACTTTCAATGTCGCATTGGGTGTACAATCCCACTGTAATATTATTTCAAATTTCGCGGCGAGAGAGAATGATATTACTTCCAATATCGCAGCATGTGTACAACTTTCCTATGATATTGTTTTTAATATCCAGGAGGAAAGAGGATGATATGACTCCCCATATCGCAGGAGGTATACAACCCCCTCTGTAATTTGGTTCCTAATATCCAGATGGGGAGAGGTTTATACTTCTCCCAATATCACAGAAGGTTTACAAACCTTGTTTAATATTTTTCCTAATTTCCAGTGAAAAAGAGGATGATATTACTTTTAATATCACAGTGAATGTACACTCCTCTGTGATATTGTTTCTAATACAGGAGAAGAGAAGACTATATTACTCTCAATATCGCACGGCGGGTACACTCCCCTGTAATTTTGTTTTTAATATCCAGGTTGAGAGAGGATATTACCTGCAATATAGCACGGTGTGTACACCCCCCCCCCGTGATATTAATCTCAATAGACAGGAGGTGAGGATGATATTATTCTCAATATCACAGAGAGTTGCACACACCCCTGTGATATTGTTTTTAATATAAAGAGAGGAAGAGAATAATATTACTTTCAATATCACAGAAGGTGTACATTCCCCTGTGATATTTTTCCTAATATCCAGGTAAGGAGAGGATGATACTACTCCAAATATCTCAGCGGGTGTACACTTCCTCAGTGATATTGTTCCTAATACAGGGGAGGGAGAATAAAATAATATGACTCCCAATATCACATGGGGTGTACACCCTCCCTGTGATATTGTTACTAATATTAAAGAGGGGAGAGGATGATATTACTCCCAATATCCCAGAGATCATACACACCTTCTTTGAAATTTTTTCATATCCAGGGGAAGAGAGGATGATATTACTCTCAGTAACGCAGGGAGTGTACAAACGCCCTGTGATATTGTTCCTAATAATTTTGGGGGGGAGAAAGTGATATTACTTCCAATATCGCAGGGGGTGTACAACCTTCCCGGTTATATTGTTCCCAATATCCATGGGTGGAGAGGATGTTATTACTCTCACTATTGTAGAGGGTGTACACCCCCCCATGATACTGTTTCTAATATCCAGGCGGGAAAAAAAATACTACTCCCAATATTGCAGGGGGTGTACATCCCCCTGTGATATTGTTCCTAATTTCCAAAGGGAAAATGGATGATATTACTTTCAATATCACAGGACTTTTACACGTCCCTGTGATATAGCTCCTAATATCCAGGTGGAGAAAGAATGATGTTACTCTCAATACAGCAGAGTATGTTTAACTCCGCTGTGATATTGTTCTTAATATCCAGGTAGAAAGAGGATGATAATATTCTTAATATCGCAGGGGGTGTACAACCTTCCTATGATGTTTTTCCTAATATCCAGAAAGGGAATAAATGATATCACTCCCAATATCGCAGGGGCTGGACACTCCCCCTGTGATATTGTTTCTAATATTCAGGGGAAAAAGATGATATTACTTCCAATGTCACAGGGTGTGTATGCTCCCACTGTGATATTGTTCCTAATATCCAGATTAGAAGAGGATAATATTGCTCCTAATATCGCAGGGGGTGTATGCCATTTCTGTGATATTGTTTTTAATATTCAGAGGGGGAGAGGATAATATTACTTCCAATTTCGCAGGGGGTGTACACCCCACTGTGATATTATTCATAATATCCAGGGGGGAAGAAGATGATACTGCTTTCAATATTGCAGATAGTGTACAGCCTCCCTGTGATATTGTTCCTAATATCCAGGTGGGGAGAGGATGACATTACTCCCATTATCACAGAAAGTGTACACGTCCCCTGTTATATTATTCCTAACATTCAAGAGGAGAGACGATGATATTACTCCCAATATCAAGGGGGGTGGTCACCACCCCTGTAATATTTTGTTAAATATCCAGAAGGGAGAAGATGTTATTACTCCCAATATGGCAAAGGGTGTACACCCTCTCAGTAATATTGTTCCTAACTTCCAGGGGGAGAGAGGATATTACTACTTTCAATGTCGCAAAAGGAGTACAACCTTTTTGTGATACTGTCCCTAATATCCAGGAAGGGACAAAATGATATTACTACAAATATTATAGAGGGTGTCAAACCCCCCTGTGATATTGTTCCTAATATCCAGGGAAAGAGATAATGATATTACTTTCAATATCACAGGGCGGGCATACAGCTCCCTGTGATATTGTTCCTAATATCTAGAGGAAGGGAGGATGATATTACTCCTGATATTGCAGGGGGTGAACACCCTCCCTCTGACATTTTTTCCTTATATCCAGGAAGGAAGAGGATGATATTACTCTAATATGCAGTGGAAGAGAGGATGATATAACTCTCAATATTGCAGGAGGTGTAAACCCTCCTGTGATATAGTTCTTACTATCCAGGCGGTAAGAGGATATTACTCCCAATGTTGGAGGGGTTGTACACCTCCCCTTGTGATATTGTTTATAATATCCAAAGGGAGAGAGCATACTATCACTCTCAATATCGCAGGAGGTGTAAATCCAGTCTGTGATATTACTTCTAATATTCAGGGGGGAAGAGGATGATATTACTCTTAATATGATATTACCCTCAATATCTCAATATTCACCCCTCTTGTGATATTGTTTCTTATATCCAGTTGGAAAGAGGATGATATTTCTATCAATGTCACAGGGGGTTACATGCCACCTGTGATATTGTTTCTAATATCAAGGGGGGGTGGAGATTATGTTAACCCCAATATCGCAGAGTGTGTACACCCCTCCTGTGATATTGTTTCTAATATCCTGTGAAAGAAAGAATGATATCACTTGCAATATTCCATCGGTGTAAACCCCCTGTGGTATTGTTCCTAGTATCCAGGGGACGAGAGGATGATATTACTCCCAATATCACAGGGGGTGTATATCCCCCTTTTGTGATATAGTTTCTAATATCCACGGGTGGATATGACAATATTACTGTTAATATCGCAGGGGGTGTATATTCACTCTGTGATATTTTTCCTAATATTCAGAGGGAAAGAGGATGATATTACTACCAATATTGCGGTGGTTGTACAAAGCCCCTGTAATATTTTTCCTAATATCCTGGAGGGGAAATGATAACATTATTCTCGATGTTGCAAGGGGTATGCACCCCTCTTTTGATTTTGTTCTTTATATCCAGGGAGAGGGAAAATCATATTACTCCCTATATAGCAGAAGGTGTACAACATTCCTGTAATATTGTTTTTAATATCCCAGGAAGGAGAAAATAATATTACTTTTAATAAAGCAAGTGGTTTACACACCCCCTGTGATATTGTTCTTAATGTCCACTGGAGAGGATATTACTTTTAATATCACAGACGGTGTACACCACTTTGTGATATTTTTCCTAATATCCAGGAGTGGAAAGGATAATATTCCTTCTAATATCACAGGCGCTGTTCACACCCCGTGTGATATTGTTTCTACTTTCCAGAATGGGGTAAGTAATATTACTCTCAATATCGCAGGGAGTGTACACTCCCCCTGTGATATTGTTCCTAATATTCAAGAGATAAGAGGATGATATTACTCCCAATATTGCAGGGCGTGTACACTCCCCTGTGATATGGTTTATAATAACCAGGTTGGGAGAGGATGGTATTACTTGCAATATCGCATGGGGAGTACAAAACCCCTTTTGATATTTTTTCCTAATATACAAAGGCGAGAGGATAATATGATTCCAAATATCGAAGCAGTGTACACTCCCCCTTTGATATTTTTCATAATATTTAGGTGGAGAGAGGATGATATTACTTCCAATATCCCAGGGGGTGTACACCTCCCTTTGATATTTTTCTTAATATCCGGGGGTGGATAGGATGATATTAATCTCAATATCCCAAGGAGGGAAAAGCCTCCTCTGTGATATTATTCTTAATATTTCGTTTGGGAGAAAATGATATTACTCCCAATATCGAAGGGGATCTACACCCTCCCCCGGTGATATTGTTCCTAATATCCAAGGGAAGAGAGGATGATATCACTTTCACTATCTCAGATGGTGTACAACCCTCCCGTGATATTGTTTCTAATATCCAAGCGGGGAGAATATGATACTACTCCTAATATCAAAGGGGGTGTACAACCCCTTTGTAATATTGTTTCTAATATCCTGGGCGAAAAAGGATGATATTACTTTCAATAACGCAGTGGTTTTACACCCCCCGTGATATAGCTTCTATGATTTAGGGGGAAAGAAGATGATATTACCCCCAATATAGCAGGGGGTGTAATCTACCCCTGTGATATTGTTCCTAGTATCCAGCAGGGGAGAGGATGATATCACTCCCAATATCGCAGGGTACGTACAACCTTCCTGTGATATTGTTTTTAATATCCGGGGGGAAAAATGATATCACTTCCAAAATCGCAGGGGACGTACACCCCCTTTGTGATACTGTTCTTAATATCCAGGAATAAAGAGGATGGTATTATTTCCAATATCGCAGGTGGTGTACACTCCTACTGTGATATTGTTCTTAATATCCAGAAGGGAAGAGGATGATATTGCTCCCATTATAGTAAGGGGTGTACACCCTTTCTCTGATATTGTTCCTAATATTCAGGGGGGAAGCAGATAACCTTACTCCCAATATCGCAGAAGGTGTACACACCCCCTGTGATATTGTTCCTAATATCCAGTAAAAGAAAGGATGATATTACTTTCAATATCACAGGGGAAGTACTTTCCCCCGTGATACTCTTTTAATATCCAGGGACACAGAAGATAATATGACTCCCAATATCGGAAGAGCTGTATACCTTTTCCTGTCATATTGTTTCTAATATCCAGGGTGGAAGAGATAATAATATTGCTCTCAATATTGCAGAAGTGTACACTCTTCCTGTGATATTATTCCTAATATCAAAAAGGAGAGAGGATGATATTATTCCCAATATCGCAGGGCATGTACACTTCCCTGTGATATTGTTTTTAATATCCAGGTTGGGAGATGATGATATTGCCTGCAATATCGCATGGGGTGTACACCCCCCCGTGATATTGTTCCTAATATACAGTGAGGGAAAGAATGATATTACTCCCAGTATCGCAGGGAGGGTCCCCTCCACCCGTGAGAATGTTCCTAATATAAAGGGAGCTAGAGTATGATATTACTTTCAATATCGTAGAGGGTGTACACCCCTTCTGTGATATTGTTCCTAATATCCAGGGGGGAGAAGATAATATTTCTCCCAATATCGTAGGTGGTGTACACCCCTTAGGTGATATTGCTCCTAATATCCTATGGTTAAGTGGCTGCTATTACTACCAACATCGCAGAAGTGAACATCCCCCTGTGATATTGTTGCTAACATCCAGGAAGGGAAAAAATGATATCACTCCAGTATCCCAGAGGGTGTTAACTCCTTCTGTGATATTGTTTCTAATATCCAGGGAAGGAGCGGATGATATTACTCCCAATATCGCAGGGAGTGTTCTCCCCCCCATGATATTTTTCCTAATATCTAGAAGAAGAGAGGATGATATTACTCCCAATATTGAAGTGAGTGTACACCCGCTTGGTGATACTGTTCCTAATATCAAGGGTGGAAGAGGATGATATTTCTCACAATATCGCAAGGGGTGTACACTCCTCCTGAAATATTGTTTCTAATATTCAGGGGAGAAGAGGATAATGTTACTGTCAATATCACAGAGGGTTTACACGCCCCCTGTGATATTGTTCCTAATATCAAGGATGGGAGAGGATGATATTACTCCCAATATCGTATGGAGTGTACACCCTTCCCGCCCCAGGAGGTTGTTTCTAGTATCCAGTGGAAGAGAGAATGATACAACTCCCAATATCGCAGGAGGTGTAAACCCTCCTGTCATATTGTTATTAATATCCAGGCAGTAAGAGGATGATATTACTCCCAATATCGTAGGGGGTGTACACTCCCCTTTGTGATATTGTTTCTAATATCTATGGGGGGAAGAGGATAATATTACTCTCAATATCGCAGAAGGTGTACACCCACCCTCTGATATTAGTCCTGATACTCAGGGAGGAAGAGGATGATATTACTTTCAATATTGCAGGAAATGTAGACCCCTCCCCTGTGATATTGTTTTTCATATCCAGGAGGGGAGATAATATTATTACTGTCAATATTGGAGGGGGTGTACACCCCCAGTGTGATATTTTTCCAAACATTAGTGAGGGAGAGAGGATATTGGGAGTAATATCCCAATATCGCAGCAGGTGTACAACTTTCCTGTGATATTGTTTTTAATATCGGGGGGCGAGAGGGTGATATGACTCCCAACATCACAAGTGGTGTATATCCCCCAATAATATTGTTCCTAATACCCAGACGGAGAGAGGATGATATTACTCCCAATATCGCAGAAGGTTTACACACCCGTTGTGATATTGTTCCTAATTTTCAGTGGAGAGAATGATATTACTTTCAATATCACAGGGGCTGTACACCCCTCTGTGATATTCCTCCTAATATCCAGGAGGGGAGAGGATAATGTTGCCCCCAGGCAAGCAGAGGCTGTACCCCAGCTTCTTGTGATATTATTTCTAATATTTTGGGGGGAAATATGACATTATTCTCAATATCGCAGGAGGTGTACACTCCCCCTGTGATATTGTTTCTAATATTTAGGAGAAGAGAGGATGATATTACTCCCAATATCGCACAGCGTGTACACTCTCCTCTGATATTGTTTTTATTATCCAGGTTGAGAGAGGATGATATTACCTGCAATATCACACGGGGTGTGCAAACCCCCTGTGATATTGTTCTCAATATGTAGGCGAAAGAGGGTGATATTATTCCTAATATCGTGGGGAGTTTACACCCCCCTGTGATATCGTTTTTATTATGAAGGGAGGAAAGTATGATATTACTTTCAATATCACAGAAAATTTACACCCTTTTTGATATTTTTCCTAATACCCAGAGGAAGAGAGAATGATATTATTTTCAATATCGCAGGGGTTGTATACTCTCTCTGTGGCATTGTTCCTAACACACGGGGGGCGGGGAGAAGATGATATGACTCCTAATGTTGCATGAAATTGAGCTATAACTTTCAATCAGATGGCATCTTACAGTTGAAGATGTTTCACCATTACTGTTGGGCAGGCAACAATCTCATGAATTTTTCATTACTAGAGCAGCTCACATAGTAGATACTTCAATAACAAATCCTGCCTACTATGTTCCAATTTGTAAAACTACACAATCCGTGATAATAAAGTAATCTATTAACCTTTAGAAACAAAATGATAGTGAGAAAGAGATGAGAAATGTAGTGATTACGAATGCTTATGAACAGTACTGTAACAGAAATCAAAAGTAGGCTAACTCTAGGTAATTGCAAAGCCTGCTAGCTCTGCACAATTGTAAAATCTGTTTTAGAGCACACACTGCCAAGTTTAATATTTTATGGAACTTTTAAAAAAACTCCTGCATCACCAATACATTTGATAACAGAACAGACCATCTGGTGTGAAAAAATCACAATCATTGTGAGTTGAAAAAATAATTTAGCCTCTGAATGTTAACAATTTAGCATCACGTTAAACAATTTAGTTGCTTATTTTCCTTTTTATGTATGCACAAAAGTGTATAATGAAATTTGTGTTAAACTAAGCTTAAAAGATCTCCTTAAAAATATAAAAATTTCTAAGCAATAACAAAACATGTTTCATTGTTTAACTGAAGGGTGTTTATTCTTTGAAAGAATGATGCTTCATACAGTCTAGTCTGGCTTAAATTTTAAAACATATGGTATTCAATTTGCTGTCTTCAATTTAAGTGAAAAGTTTGTTGTTGTTGTTTGCCTATAGTTTTCACCACTTTTCCCTTTTAAGCGCCCTGTTTTATATAGTTTTAACTATATTGCAACCAATTAAATTTATTAGGGTACATTCCAATCGCTTTTCTTATGTGGCTCTGCTTTCTCTCTCCTAAAATATTTTAAAGTGTAGTTCAAGAGATCTAAATAATTCTAGCTTTATTTACTTTATTGCCCTCATGGCTCTTTTGCAAACAAACACAAATATCTAATATGCTGTGTCATACTTTACCTTCATTTTTTTCCTTCCTGACACTTGGTTCCTATTTCAAACAAATATTCTCAATAGAAGTGACTAAAGATTAACTTATTCTGAAATGCAATTTGAAAACACAGAAAAGTTAAAAAGGTCAAATATGCACATTCTAGAATTTCTCATGATAAGAAATGATAATTCAAGAAGTATCACCATGGTCAGAAAAAAAAAACGTAATGTAGGTAATGATACTTGAGACAATCAGAAATCAAGACCCATTCAAGCTTTTTTTGAGCATAGAGTGGAATAATACAAGTAGCATTTTAGGAAGATTGTTTTTTAAGTACAATCCCTAATAAATTGAACAGACAACTTAAAATAATAAATCCAATTAGAAAATATTTTTATATTCTAGGGATAAAGTAATCAGATACCCATATTAGGAGAGTGACATCACGACAACCATAGCAACTGAAATATCAGGTATTATTTATTGAGCATTCACCATGTACCAGCCACACAGTGCCAGGCACTTTTAAAAGTGGTGTTAATGAATCATCTTATTTTATATTAAATAATCCTATGATGCAAGTACTATTATTCTTTTTAATTTATAAGTGAGGAAACAGTCTTAGAGAGATTAGTAACCTGACGTGCTTCTCCATGGGAAAGAAGAGATAAGGCGTCATAGAAACTAAAGTAACCTGTGGGTAATTGGAATTGGGTAAGCAGCTTAACATGGAATCAAATTATCAGGAGATTAGAAATCCTGAGCTACTAGATTAAAAATAAAAATTAAATCCCTGAGTTTGAGAGAAAAAAAAAAGAAAAAGAGAGCCTCTGGGTAGGAAATGGAGAAGGCATGAGGAAGGATCATAAGAAGCCAAAAAGGAGACTGAAAAGGCATTCAAACTAGGTGGGTGTGAACAAGCCCATTGGAAACTGAAAGGCAGAGAGTTTTAACATTGTAGATGTAATTACTAATATCATAAATAGAAAGAAAAGAAAGATAAAGACAGAAGAATAGTAGTTCAGAGAGGAGTTCTTCATTACACAAATGTGTCTAATTTTTACATTGGTGAGCATATTCCCATTAAAGAAAACTCGCCTTCAGGAAGACCAGAATTTTTTATGTTCTAAGTCAAGCCAAAGATAGAAAGAAGAAAACTTAGAAACAGATGAAAAATAAGAGAAGGAGGGAATAAAACAGTAAAAGAAGGAATGAAAGCATGTGCAAAAGCAGAAAAGGGAGGGAGGGAAGAAGGAAGGGAGAAAGGGGGAGACGGCCCAAAGAAGGATTATTTGTTTTTCTATCCTATATACATTTCTGTTGATTAAAGTTTTGTCACATATTTTATGTATATATCATCAAAAGATTAATATCAGCATTAAGTAATATATTTAATAATTTATAGTATAATAAAATTATGAGTCTCTATTCAGTATGGAGTTTGGACTAACAATGCTTTTATTAAAGCAACAATTTAATTTAAAAAACTAACCATTTTCTTCATTTAATGGAAAAAAGAGCTTAAAAGCATAAGAGGTTTATTTGTCTTCCTTGCAAAATGAGTGAAGAGTTTAATTTATATTTCCTTAAATTATAGTGAAACACACAGTACGCTTAGTGTGCTGGTCTAGTAAGTTTTACTCTAGGCTGATCATAAACCTTGTTAGTCGTTCTCAACTGAGCACAGTTCAATATGCAGCAATATTTAACTATAAAAGTTGATTTGGTAAACAAACAAACCAAAAAAACACAATATCCAACGGAGAGAGAGAAAGACTAGTCAATATAGAGTAAATTAACATCCAAAGGGTGTCTGGGTACTTAGGCAAGTAAAATTTCAAAAGAAATATCCAAAATGTGTAAATAAATACAAATTCAGAAACAAATTATGAAGGAAGAATAACTATATGAATTACTTCTCTATACAATATATGAGAAACTTAATAGACTGATAGTTTACAAAAACAGAAAAATAAGAAAGTGAATTATTTGTGTGAAAAATATAAGGCAATGCTGGCTTTTATTTGGAAGAGGCACTACTGACAGTGATTAGGACTGGAGTAGCCGGCGTGACTAGAAGAGTCTTTTATAACCCAACAGGCCATTCTGCTCTGTGTACTTAGGAAAAATGTAGCAGGAGAAGGAATTATTATTGTCCTTAGAGTTTTTGTGCCAAGATTCATTATATCTTGCACCGCCCCCCTCTGTACCACTTTCTGCCCAGGTTTCTCAAGATACCTTCTGTTGAATGTGCTGTAGATTATTCTTAAAGTCTTTGTCTTTCTTGTTGTTGTTATACTGCGATAGATTCTTCCAGAACAGAAACAGCAGTGTGGATATCTCTTTAACATGAAGGATGATCCCAACATAACTTCTGTAATCTGAAGGCTTTTTGGATATCCTGCTCAGTAGCATTCGACTCTTCTCCTTTTTAAAGGTAAGGTATCTGCCTAGTCAGCTCCTTAGAGTCCTTCTTCTAACTGGTCACCAGAGCCTGATTGAGACACTTGTGTTTTATGGGACTAGTCTTATCTTGACCTTGAGAAAGAGACAGCTGATGGTAAGGGATTTATCATGATTGAATCTGAGGACATGAGGTATTTATTACATTCCAAAGATAATTAATATATTCAATGGTACATTTCAAATTATTTTCACAGAACCACTAAGTGTAGTCAATCTTTGGCTTTGAAGGAGATGACTAGTTCAGACAAATTTATAAGATTGTAGTAAAGGAAAATCTATGTTAGATATCCCTTAAAATGTCTCAGTGTTGACTTAGCTGTTTTGCAAATAAATCTATGCTATTTTAATACATTTTAGGTCATTTGAGATTTCTTGTGTAAGCCTAAACTATCTCCATTTAATGTCTCATTTCTACATGTATAGAACAGAATAAAGACTTGCATGAAAACCCTTCAACATTTGAAGACAGCTACATTTCCTTGGAATCTTCTTTCTGACAGACTTATTCCTTCCATTTCCCTCCCATACCATATCCTGAAGGATTCCTCATTATCTCTTTCATGGCTTTCAGCATCCTGACTATTCCTATCTAGACCAGTGCATCTCAATTTTGGTCGCACATTAGAATTACCTTCTTAAAAATCCCAGAGCCCAGGCCCCACCCTGAATTAGCTAAACAAAAATCTCTGGGGAGACAATTGTGAACAAAAGTTCCTTCAAGGGAAATGTGGACAAAAGACACTTTATTCCAGTGAACAGTTTACACACTAGGGAGACACAGCTTTCACATAAAATGAAGATGCATTTCAGAGAAACAAAGGAGAATCTGGATTTTATAGCAAATGTGTCCATAAAGGTTCCCAATCAAGTCTGTTTATGCAAATGAAGGATTCAAACTTGCTTAGTTCTAATTGGTAAACATAGCTAAGCTCTGATTGGATGGAGCAGGTAAGCTCTGATTGATTCCAAAATCAGAAGTCTCTGTCAGATGTTTCTTTGAAACAGCTAGTGGAGGTGAGAGAGGTCCCATCCCAGCTATAGCCACGTGGTTCTATTTTAACTCAGCCACAGGGAGTCCATTTTGTCTATTGGCTGGGACATATAGGGCGTTCTTTGACAGAATCAAGGCATCAGTATTTTAAAATCACAAATAATTCTAATGTGCAGCCAAGGTTGAAACTGCTGTTCTAGATGTGCCTTAGTTTACAAATTCTGCTTTAAAAATCTGGCATTCTAAATTGCTATGGCAATGTATTTTAGGACTTTCTACTCCAGAAACCTTAGCATGCATTTAGAAATAAAAATTACATTTCTTTTAGTAGAATTCAAGTAAGAAACAAATGTTTGATAAAAAGGAATCCTTCCAAATCTTGCTTTTTAAATTGTAATCTTCCTCACCATTCTTTATCCAACTTTTTTTACCCCTATATCCACTTTCTCTGGGGGATCTCATCTGCTCCTGTGAATTCAGGTACCTTCTATCAACAAACTTCTGAAATCCAAACTCTCATATCCAATCTATATATCGTGTTAAAGGGTAACTTTCAAAAAAGAGTAAGATTGTGACTCTCAAACAGATAAAAATTGTATTACCTTGTTTGCACATTGATGTAAAGAAATAACTGTGACTAGGCAATTTAAAGAGACAAGAGGTTTAATTGGTTCATAGTTCCACAGGCTGTACAGGAAGCATGGCTAGGGAGGCCTCAGGAAACTTACAATCACGGCCGAAAGCAAAGGGGAAACGGCTGGAGCCGTGGGAAGAGAGAGAAGAGGGAGGTACTCCACACTTTTAAACAACCAGATCTCATGCGAACTCACTCACAATCATAAGAATAGCAAGAGTGAAATCTGCCCTCATGATCCAATCACCTCCCACCAGGCCCCTCCTCCAACATTTGGGATTACAATTTGACATAAGATTTGGGCGGGGACACAATCCAAACCATATAAAAATGAACCTGCGTTAAAGAGTTTTTACTCATGAGGGAACCAGAGGGAAGCAAATTTATATAGCATAAAGTTATATTGATATCAATGTGCAAATAGAGGTTAAACTGTTTTTCCATGAGGATGGGGAAGCTGGAGGTGGGAAGGCATTTGAATTTCTACCAGATATGACAGAATCTGCCTGTTAATCATTTACCTATAATTTACAGAGTTGCAAAATAACTAAAAGACAATGTACAGGGCTAAAATTTTATAGCTTAAAGGGTGTGCACTATGTAGACAATGCATAGTATTTCATGATTACACACATTTTAAATATCAGAATATTAAATTTTGAGGAAGTGAACTCATTATTTTCTCACTCTTCCTTGAATCCTTTACTAAAACTCCCTTCGAAAACATTGTGTTATTTTCCATTATATCACCAGTGCACAACATAGTACTTGCTACATAGTAAGACTTCAAAAATGTGGAATAGATAAATAAATATAAAATGCAGTCTAAAATCACTAACATATACCTAATCTATAGCCATATTTCACCATTCTTCTCCTAGTTTGTTCTTGTTCAAGTAAAATATATAAAATGAACAACCATTTACACTCCCTCAAAATTAATAATAACTGCTTGTTTGAATAAGCAAATGGCTTTTCTATGACCAATTAAAAGGAAAGCTGATAGTTTTATACAGAACAGGTATTGAAGAGTAGGGTTTGACTGGAAGGAGTTTAAGTTTCAAATTCTCTTAGTAGAATTTTCTACATAGTAGAAAATTTCTAATACATAGTAGAATTACATAGTAGAATTTTCTAACATGTCAGAATTGAGCATCTTACAGATGCTGAATAAGGCCCTGTTTTTTTTGATTGATTGAATTTCGAAACTTTCAAGATAATGTTAATTCCAGTCCTACAGTTACAGCAACATTACAAAGATTAAGAAATCAAAGGGTTATCAGCCTGATGATTTACAGAGAACCTTGTAACCAATTTGTCATTTAAAAGAGACAGGCTTTTCAGCATTTAAGAGATTAACAATTTGAAGCATACATTCACTTGATCTAAGCCATAGACCCCTGCATTCCTACTTATTATCTTAAAACGGATCTTTTAAGCATTGCAATTATCCATACTTTACACTGTGGATATCTGCTGCTACTTGTGTTACCTTCGTAGTGATAGTCTTTTATTAAAACTACAGACATAATCTCTATTTTAAACAACTGTAATAACGAATGTTTTAGTTAGGTTATTCAAAAAAAAGCCACATAATCACATGTATTTTCTTATAGATACAAAAATAGAAAACAAATGCAAGCTAAATATCAACTTTTTAAGCACAGGGAATATTTTTAATTCTAGGAGTTATAAATACTAACATTTACGTCTTTATGGTAAGGAAGCATTTAATTCCTATAATAAAGAAATGAATTGTAATAAAAGTAGCACAAACTTAACATATTAATGAAATCAGAGGAAACTAGGGTCTGATGAATAGGCAGAAAGAATACAGTTTATTTTTCTTATGTAGCCTATCTCAACAAAATCCCTAGATTATTTTTATTCATTTGAATTAAAATTTATAACTTTTACTGTAACAAGGACTTAAATCCAAAATACAAGCTACAATTAAGAAAACTATTTTTTAAATATTTGGTAGATAATGAATTCATTCCTGCTGACTCCAACTGAATTTTAGTGAATAATTTGAATAAAATAATACATTCTATATTTTTTGATTTCATAAACAGGATTTTGTAACCTAATATCTGCCCAAGTTATTGTGGAAAATATATTGGAAATATAACATTGCATTTTCACTCAAAAGTTTAACTTTTTTACTTACAAATAAATCATCTGAAGCCAAATATTTGTCAGAAACATTTGTAACTCAGAAAGGGTTTAAATTTTTACATTAAATGTGGGTAGTGCCCCCTGGTGGAAATATGTCAAAAAAAGCTTTGATAATGTTTATACTTTCTCTCATCTAAAATCACAGATTCAAAGATTTGAGAACATTATCAAAGTAATAAACATGTTTTAATTATTAAAGTTAATTAAATAATGTTTCATTAATTAGTGTTTAATTAATTAATTAGTATTTTATGTAGGCTGGTATAAAACAGTGTCTTTGAATGTTTGTGCAATAACACCCATACCTCAATGACACACCAGTTTGAATTCATTTACATTATATTTCGCACTTTAAAATTAAATTATTAAAGGAATCCTTCTGTTGTTGAAATATTACCTGATCACGTTCCAATTATTTGAGTATTCTATATACTTTCAGTATTGTGAAGGCAAAAATGTTGAATGACAACTCAGTTGCTGTACATTCAATGTTCAGTAAAATGTGTGGCATAGGGAAGAACTCAATGGAAATTTATTGTGATTTATTCTACAAATTTCAGCAAGATCCTTAAAGATAGGATTTTTGCATGCAGATGCTACCTTGGAAATTGGCATCTATATATTAAATACTGCATAAATATTTCTGGTGATTAACTCACTAATATTAAGATATTTGCTCTTATGCCTTGCTGGACATAAAACAATACTAGCGAACATTCTATAGTCTTGAGCAATATTCAAAATATTCAATATTCATATGAAGTACATAGAAACTTACCCTTTTAAGACCTTGTCAAAATCTGAATAAATGGCATGAGACACAATTTAAAGGATTAATGGTAAAATGTTTGATCTTCTGGTTCAAAGGAGTTAAATTATTCTGAAGCGATATCACTAAGTTATCCCTATAGCAAACTATTTTATTACTTCAAAGATTTATTTATACTTTTCAACAGCTATGAAAGGCATCTGTGACTAAACACCAGAAATTTAAAGTAGGTACTGAGTTAGAACTGTCACCACACTCAATGAAGAATGAGAATTCATGATTGTTAATGTTAAATA
Organism: Homo sapiens; assembly: GCF_000001405.40. Classification (NCBI taxonomy): domain Eukaryota; kingdom Metazoa; phylum Chordata; class Mammalia; order Primates; family Hominidae; genus Homo; species Homo sapiens. The sequence goes on from NC_000006.12 coordinate 62,892,237, forward strand.
ACAATCGCTCTTTTTGCTTTTAAATTACAGAATAATGGAAAACCTTCAGGAATTAACTATTTCATTTATCTACCATCATTCCCATAAATTGAACAATTGTTGAAAAATCACTGCATGGAAAATAGGGAATGTTCATTATTTTTTGTCATGTTGTCTGCTATCCTCTATGAGATATTTGCACCAAAATTTAAGGGTTTTTTTTTTTGTCAGAATAGCAGAGTCATAAAAAATGTTTACAAATGTAAAAAGAAATATCCTAAGGTCTTGAGCTTTGACTATAAAATACAAACTAGAAAAAGGTAAATTTTCACATGTGAAGTAACTATTGTGAGGAACAATTACCTGACAGTATTAGTCACAGGTTATTCAAGAAGAAAGTATTTAATAAGCATGTTTGTGCTTCTTTATGATCAACACTTTGAATATGTGTGTATGAGAAAATGTTTATACAGTGTGAATTTAATACCTTATTCTAGCCTTCTGTTCTGATCATACTTATAAGCATTTGAAATTCAATGACAAATTCAGCTATTGTATTTTCAAGTGTTTACTTCATATTCTGTCTAAACAACCATAAAAATAATACAGTGATTTGAGGGCTAAATTATTTGGAGTAACTCAAGAAGTATAGAAAAATGAATATCAATATATCAAAGAGAATATTTAAAAATAAAGCATGCAAGGGTCCTGGGGCTGAAAAACATAAAAATAAAGCAAAAGTTAAACATACTCACTGTATTAGTCCATTTTCACACTGCTATAAAGAAACTACCTGAGAATGGATAATTTATAAACAAAAGAGGTTTAATTGACTCACAGTTCTGCATGGCTGGAGAGGCCTCAGGAAACCTACTATTATGGCAGAAGGCAAAGGGGAAGCAGGCACCTTCTTCACAAGACAGCAGGAGAGAGAGAGAGTACACAGGGGAAAACTGTCACTTTTAAAAACCATCAAATCTCATAAGAACTCCCTCACTATCATGAGAATAGAATAGGGGAAACTGCCCTCATGATCTAATCACCTCCCTCCAGGTCCCTCCCTCAACACGTGGGGATTGCAATTCAAGATGAAATTGGAGGGGGAACACAGAGCCAAACCATATCACTCACAAACTCTCAAATTAATTAAGGTAAATTTTATAATGCACAACTTTCCAAGATCAGGAAAATCTTATTTATATTATAAAAAGATATTACCAAGAAGGCAAAGTAAGAGAAATCAGTCTTCATTCCTACACACACATAAAAACAAATTTAAACAGCTATTTACAAATTAAAATAGCTCAGAGGGCTCAAAGGAGCATGAAAGAATCTGCAGAAACACAATAGGAAAATGAAAAAAGGAAAAGGAAAAGAAGAGAGAAGGAGCATATAGACAGAATTCCTGGTGAAGATTGGCAAACTTGAGATGCCAAGAGAAAGCTAGGAGCAAAGAAGGGCAGAAGCCAGTGACATCTACCACATGCCAAGAACTACCCTAGTCCCAATGGCCTGCTTCTTAGAGGACACTGGCATCTCTTGCCATCGGTTACCAACAGCCATTCCTGCTGGGGAACCTTAGAGAGGGAGACATGGCCCCACACCCGATCCCTACCTAAGAAGTAGCAGCTGTCGAGCCACTTTGGAAAAGAAGCTTTCACCTCTCCTAATTCTATGCATGCCATGACTCTGGAGCTAGAACTGCTCAAAGAGTGCCCACACCCAGACCTAGTCTCTGTTGCTACTCTTAGGCACTGGATCAGCTGACATGGAGAGCTAACTACCACCCTAACCCCTGACCCACGGAAGCTAGCACATGTCTACACTCATAATTATTTTGGAGAGCTTTGTTCATGCTTTGATTTGTTTTTGTATTTTTGTGTGTGTTGTAGAGATTGGAGTCTTGCTGTGTTGCCCAGTCTGTAATGCCAGCAGGCAGACAAGCCCCAATATTGAGGCTTAGCCCAGGAGGCTTCTGGGCTTCACCTAGAAGAAAATTTGAGGGTGAGCTGATGGTGTTAAACAACGATCTTTTATTGACTGGAACTGCTCCTTGTGGAGCATTGCTAACTCACAGGGAGTGTGCTCAGAGCCACTTATGACTGTTGGCAACTGTATTTATGGCCACTTATTTCCACTTTCAATTACATGCAAATTAAAGTGTGGATTAATGCAAATTGAGGGGTGAGTTATTCAGAATTTTCTAGGAAAGAAGCAGTAACTTCTGGGTCATTTCAATGGAAAGAGGCAGTAGCTTCTGGGTCATGGCTATAGTATTTGTAAACTGTCATGGCACTAGTGGGAATGTTTTATGCTAATAACCAATGGGGGCAACTAGGGATCACTTTTGTCTCCATCTGCTGGTTCCTGCCAGCTTCTTCACTTCATCCCATTGGGGCTGGAAAATAAGTTCTGTCCATTTCCTACCCCATCTGGACTTGAACTCCTATGCTCAAGCTGGGGCTATAGGTGCATGGAACCACACTGAGTTTTTTATGTTTTGATGTATAATTCTAGTTAATTATTTCATAGTGGTATAGTATCTCATTTTACTGGTGTTCTACAATTTATTGATTAATTTTCCTGTGGATGACATTTAAGTTGTATCAGTTAGGAAAGGCTAGGTTTTTACTGGAATAGGAAAACAACCCCAAAATACCAGAAAAAAAGTTTTTTTCTTGCTTAGATAGAGTCTACTATAGCTTAAGGAGATGCTCAGCTCCACAGTGTACTCAGAGATCCAAGTGATAAAGGTTTTCTACCTGGAAAATTGTGGCCACTGTGGCAATGGGGAGTGAAACAGGGAAATTATGCTATTCACTTCCATCCCATGTTTGCTGGCTAGAACCAGTCATGTTCAGCTGAGAAAAGTAGGTTCTATAGACTCAAAAAGGAAAAGAGAACCAGGTATTGATAAGCAGTAGTAATATTGATTACTGTTTCTCGTTTTTACTACTGCAAACCCTGTTGATGTCTCATTGTGTCACGTGAAAGAAATTACCTAGGAGTGAAAGTGCTTGGCTTAGGAAATACGGCCTTTTCAGCTTTCTTAAGTAACACATAAATTGCATTTTCAAAGAGTGCTACTGCCCTCCCACCTCGAAAGGATGAGTCCCTGTTTCTCATATTTCCTTCCAATAGTAGGTGCTGTGAGCCCTTTTTCTCCCCATCTGATTGGCATCCATGGTATTTTGTTGTGATTTTAATTCACATCAGTTTGATTGTGGTTAATGTTGAATAACCTTTTGGATTTTGGACACTCAGGGTTTGTATTTTGTGAGTTATCTATTTATGCCCTTTGCTCATTTTTCTATTGTCTTTTCTTATTAATTTTAGAAGCTGTCTACATATAATGATTACATGCATGACAAATATTTCTTCAAGTTTGTGGATTATCTTCTCAGTTTTTATCATGCCTTTAGATGAACAGAAGTTCTTTTTTCACAAATTTAATGCAATCAAATTATCAACATTTTCCTTTATAACTGGTACTGTTTTCTTTAAAAACAACAATAAAATTTACACCAGCATTACAGACATTCACTTCTCTTCTAAAAATAGTAATTTTTTTTCACATTTAGCTTAATTTCCATGTAATTTCTTATGTTATTCCCAAAGTAAATCAATTTTGATATAGATAACTAGTTGCCTAAAGATCATTTATTAAATAATACACTCTTTGAGTATAAGCCAAATGTAAGATGCTGAACATATGAAGGTGTTTTCTTCAATTCTGTCTTTCACTAGTTAATCAATATATCTATCCATGGGCCTTTATACAACTAACAGTAAATCTTGGTATCTAGTAAGACAAGCATCCTTGCTTTTTTCTTTTAGTTAAAAAAATTTGGGGCAGTTTTTGGTTCTTTACTCTTCTTGACAAATGTCAGAATCACCTAACAATGTCTATGGAAAACTCTGTCAGGATTTTGAATAGAGTTCCAATAAATTCTTAAGCTATTTGGGGAAAATTAATCATTTTATGATAATAAGTTTTAAAAATTACCATGGTGTCAGTTCATTTTAAGGACACCTGTTCATTTATTTAGAATTTTGCAAATGTCTAGTAACTAATTAATTTCTCTATTAAATATTTTGTCAGTTTTACACATAGTAGCTTTCATTTCATTATTTTTGTTGTTACAATAAAAGACATAATTTTAAAAATTACATTTTTAATAATTTTGTGACTATGAGAATGAAATTGATTGTTATATATAGATATATAAAATTAATGCCAAAGATGCTGTATTTTCTCATACATTTTTGTATAAAAAATTTTATCACCTATAAATAATGATAATTCTATTCCTTCCTTGTATATTTTATTAATTATTCCTGTGTTACTCTACTTGCTAGGGCATACTGCAATAATACTGAATGTAATCAAGGAAGCAAACATTCTTAACTATTGTCAAATTTTAACAGAATGCTTCTAATATTTTACCAGTAATTATAATACGTATTATGAATGTTTAGCATTTATTCTTTATTATCATTGAACATGTTGAAAGTGTTTCCTTTGTTGAAGATATTCCTTGTTAGCTACAGTTTTTATCAAGAATATGTACTAATTTTATCAAATGTGATTATTTGTGTCTATTGATGTGATCAAACTTTTTTTAACTTTCTTTTTAAATATCCAATATTATCCTTTTATTACTGGGGTTATCTCCACTTTTATTACATGATTATAGTCTGTATTAGAGCTTTTGCATTTATAAGTGAGATTGATCTACATTTTTTTAATTTTTTTTTTTTTTTTTTGATACAGAGTCTTGCTCTGTTGCCAGGCTAGAGTGCAGTGGTGATCTCGGCTCATGGCAACCTCAGCCTCCTGGGTTCAAGCAATTCTCGTGCCTCAGCCTCCCGAGTAGCTGGGACTACAGGCGCCTGCCATCATGCCTGGCTAATTTTTGTATTTTTAGTAGAGGTGGTGTTTCACCATGTTGTGCAGGATGGTCTCGATCTCCTGACCTCGTGATCTGCCCGCCTTGGCCTCCCAAAGTGCTGGTATTACAGGTGTGAGCCACCATGCCTGGAACGTTTTTAAAATTCTTACACTAGATTTGTCTGATTTAGGTCATTGGTTATACGGACTACATGAAAATAGTGGGAAAGTTTTTTCTCCTTTTCTCTTTTCTGAAAGAGTTTCTGTAATATTTCAATTGTTGTACCATAAACATTTAGAGAACATACCTCAAAAACCCAATCTACTACTGTCTAGACATTTAAATATTCTTTGAAAAAGATGAAAGCATTTCTGAAATAAAAAAGCAACTCACAAAATAAAATGTAAGAACATGTATGATGAAACTTCTTTAAAATGAGATTTCTCTATATCTCAGAAAAGGTAAAATAATATTAATAGTACTGATATTTGTGGTAAAATGACCACTTTCATAAATAATTGGTATACATATAAATTGGTACCATCTTATTTATTATAGTTATTGATAGGTTTTTTTAATACACCTAAGAACTTAGAAGAAATATAATTACCATTGTAATGATGACAATTATTACCAATATACTGTCTGTTATCCCCATAATACCTATTCTAGTGTTTTGAATTGAGTAGGATCTCAGATTTGTTTTTCACTAATAAATAAATAATTGTATCTGAATTACTTGTGTGCTAGAATGTCAAAATATGAAAAATGATATTTGTATACCTATGCTTTTCATTGTCACAAATATTTAGATTATAAAATAAACCAAAAGTCAACTTCTGACATTCTCCATGGGTGCTAAGTTATAACATCAACTCAAGTGTAGGTTTTATGGACAATTAGTAATCTGTCCAATAGCCTATGATAACTTTTAACTTTTTTCTCTTTTCCTATGTAAAGTCAAAATGTCCTGTAGTTCATCAAATATCTTTCTGGAGAGCTAATATCATGAATGTTTCCTCAGCTTGCTAAAAATAGTCATTTGACCCTGCTTAAGGAAGCATAGTGCCCAGCCTAAATATCTTGTTACTGAAGATAGAGTGTTATGGTCAATTAGCTTGGCTCAATGCAAAATAAAAATTTATTTGGAGAAGCTTCAGTAAGAAAATTTGAGAAAGAGTTTACCATCACAATTTTTTTCATTTCCCCTGATGAGACAAATCAACTCCATGATGGTGATTTAATGGTGCAATCAGCAGTGTGTCAAACCTGATTGATGTGTCTCTTCAGAGTCTGCCAGGTGACTTCATCATCAAAATTTCAAACAAATTTTCCCTAAAGACCCTCTGACTAACCATACCCAAATAAATTCTTTTAGTCATTGTCTTTTATTTCGTCCTTGAAACTAGATGATATTTTTGTTCAACCCCTTTGCTTTGAATTGAATAACACACAGTGACCTCAAGATATTATTTATGATAGAGAACTACACTTAAACAATTCAAAATGTCAAATGTGTAGTCATGTGGCAAAAAGTGATTTCTCTGTGGAAACTTAAGTAAGAAGGTAATAAATGTAATTTTCACAAAACACCAGTTTTAATAGCTATCAATGTGTTATAAACACAATGAAATTTACAACTGATACTGAGTCAGCACTCAATTACCTTCCCTCCTTAGCTCTCACCTCTATGGATTCAGAGTTGCTGCTTAGGAAGATGAAGTGTACATCACCAGTATAAACATTAGTTAACTGTCATCACAATTCAAGGGTAAATCAAATTACACAGTCACAACAAAATAACATTTTCTTCTTTCTTCATCATCTGCACATTTTGGAAAGTTTTACTAAAGTTTTACAAATTTCAAGAACATTTGTGCAACTTAACTTGCACTCCCTACTTGGCCTCAAAAGGCCTTCAAACATGGAAGAGTGGCAGCAAGAATATGTAGACTGTGGTGTCTGAGAAGTTACAGGAAATGATGTGAGATTCATCTAAAGTCTTGCTACTCAAGTATGGATCAGCCGTGTGGACATTGCTTGAGATCTTGTTAAGAATTCAGAAACTCAGTCCCACCCCCAAATTATGTGAGCATTAAAGTTGAAAAAGCACTAGCTTAAAAAATTACTTTACTGGATTTGAATAAATGAGACGGATGGCTGCTTTACTTTCTAGCCACACAGCTAGGGTCAATCCCCTTAACCTGTCTGAGTCTCAGGTTCCAAATCAATTAAATAATTAATGTATCACCTGTGCCGACACCTGAATGGAATTGTTAGGAAGATCAAATCATGACACACAATAAGGTATTTCACAACAGTGGACTCATCTCCATTCAATTGTAAAGATGTGGACAGGGTCCTCTGTTAGCATGTGGTGAACACATATCATGAATGAGAAATAAATATTTTTTGCTTGCAGACTTGGAGATTTTGAAGTGAGACATTAATTAACCAAGTCTATCTTGACTGACAGACACATTTGCTTTTCAGTTCCAAGCTTCAAGACTGCAAGTGCATTTTAGATACTTCAGTGAAGCTGTAAGTCTTTTAGGCAAACACTCACAAAGTATGTACTTTAGAATAACAAAAAAGATGCTGTGAATAATTTGAATTATTTTAACAGACTCAGTCTCTCTAATCTAGCTTTGCCTCTTCAATCTGCCTTACATGGCCTACCAAACCAATCTTCCTCAAAGACTCTGTAACTTGAGATTTTTCTAGTCCTTAGTTCTGATTACATAGTCTAGCTGAGGATTGTAGACACATCTCATGGAATTCTCCATATTTCAAGTCACATATTGAAAATTAATTACCACAAGTTTCACTAAAGAGGCAAGATATGTCTTTATAATCATTTTAACTCAGAAAATTTGAAAGCTTCTAATAATCCATCAACATATACGAGACAGATTAAATACATCTGCTATCATTTATCTAAATTCTTTAAGTTAATGTCCTAAATGAACACTTTCTGATCTCATTCTTTTAATTTTTATTTTCATTTCCTACAACTCCTCAAAAAACAACACTTTCTCAAACAAGAACACTCTATTCCTTTCCAACACATGAAATACAATAATGTGAGGTATGATTGGGAACTTTTCTTTCTCTAGAGTTTATAAAGTAGATTATAGTCAAGATAGCAGCTTCTTGAGAACTAGTTTGCAAAAATGCTCAGCTCTCGTCCTAAGACATTTATGTCACCAGGTCTGAAAGTCTAGTTGGTTTATCTGTCTTTATAAATGAGAAATATAAGAAAGGAAAAGAATGCACAAACTAACTAGGTTTCTTGTGAATCACTAAACTAGCCAAAGGACCAAAAATACAAGATCAGCGTGACTCTGAGGGATGTGAGATTATGGTTCCGCACTAAAGAGCTAAAATAAATGACATAATATTAACAATAATGACCATAATAATAGCTATAATATATTGAGTACTTACTATGTGACAGCTACTGTGAAAAAGTCTTCACTTGCATTTAGTTCTTCCAACATCCCTTTAAGACTGACAAGTTTTATAATTATTACCATTTTACAGACAGGAAAACAGAGTCAAGAGAGTTTTGTAAACCTATCCGAGGTCACATAGCTATTATATTTTGAAAATACGACTTTCTGTCCCCAGAGCTTACATAGTTAACCCTTTCCTCTAGACTGCTCTATAAAGTAAGAAAATGGTAGTCACCCTCCTTGGAATAATGAGAGAAAAGAAAAATCAATAACCGAGTAAGAGTTGTATCTCAGCTCCAGATCCAATTCCAATTTCAAGTATCCACTTAACCTTGGATAGCACCACTGTTTCTTGAAAGCCAAAATCCATTGAGTATTTTGTGGTCCACCATCTCTTACAAAGCAGATACTCTATTGAATAGTAAGCTACGAACTGAATTTCTGTACCTGTAATCATTTTATTTATTTACAAATATTTGTTAGTGACTGAATCTGCATACATATATTTTGTAAAACAAAGAATCCTTTTCATGGAAGCAACAACTTGCTATTAATCTGTTTGTTTTTATTTGAGATTTTTATATATTGATATTTTTCAACAGCCAATCTTTAGGCAAATTGGATTTCTCATTTCTCTCAACTGGTTATATTTTTGAAAATCATATTAAAAACTTTGAATTAGTTTCATTATTATGCAATGTTAAGGCCTGATTAATTTAAAAGTTTCCTAAGTTTCAATTTTCAATATCTAGTCATCTATGAAGTTGGAAATACTGAAAACCAGTTTTAAAAGAGACACAAAGATGAGAACCAAATAGTCCTAAGCAATTGTTATAACTGTTCTTGGCATTTTTGTGATGTGGCAAATAAATGCAGAAAATGGCTAATATATTGATAAAGCACTGCTTTGGTTATCAAAAGATTTTAGCTACAGTTTATATTTACTAGTTATACAACTTTGAATTGTTCCCTTAACTTCTCTGAGATATTGTTTACTCATTTATAAAATTGGACTTATATTCCCTGCCCTAATAACTGCTTGAGATTATTGTAGACATACAATATGGTTAGGAATATAAAAAAGTTTTATACAGTATAAATTGTTATAAAAAATAAAGCTTTGTTATAAGTGTAAATGCTAATTTTCCTTTTGAATATCTGTTGTTAAAACTGCAAACACTGAGAATTAATATAGCCCAGATTAGGTATTTTATCAAAAAAAGTAGATAAAAGCCTGTTCCTTAATTGCCTATTTTGCCTTTATGACCACAACATTTATTGTACACCCTTTGCTTCTCTTGGACTTTATTACTATCTACATAATCTGCTAAGACCTAAAGAGGAAACAGGGAATGTGTGAGTGTGTGTGTGAGAGTGTGTGTCTGTATGTGTACATGTGTGTATACAGAAAGTGATTAAGAATAAGGAGGAGTGATAATATTGCTAACTTTTGAAGCCCTTGATGTAAATCATTCTGATGTTAGCTACTGAGTGCTTATCCAAATGGAATTCATAATTATAATCAAATGTATAAAAATATAGTTATCAATTGTACCTTTGTATGATTGGCTAGTACACTGTTGTGAAGTAACTCAACTCAATAAACATTATAAAGTTCTTCTGAATATTCCTTTTAGTCTTTATTTTATATATAGAACAAGACATTTAAAAAGAACTATAATATTTTAGTGAAAAATGACTACATGCCTCATTCATAGGTTAGCTATATTTTGAAGCCTCCTAATTCAATTCATTTGATTATTTGGCATCCGAACCATGAGTTAGGGACAAAAATAGAAGTATTGTCACCATTCTATGTAGCAATTTCAATAGTTTTGTTTTCTTTTTTCCATAATAAACAAACTTCTAACCTCAGGAACTACTTCAGAAAGTAATTATTTATAATGCATTTACATTAATATGAATTTTATGGCTGAGAGTATATAGAAATGACTAGATAAGAGAAGACGTTTCAAGATAATTCCTAGTTATATTTAACAATATGTGAAATGAGGGGCTTCTAATTTTGAAATGTGATAGTTTTCTAGTAAAATTTATTCTACTTTATTAAAATGTATTCGAATAAGATTCCCAAACCAAAATCAGTTCTGGCAGTCTACTTCTGTTACAACATTTGCAATTTTCACTTGTAAAATTAATTATCCATGATTGTAGGCTGAAATTAGATATTATAATGTTTATGTTGACACTTTAGCCAGATCACTCATCTAAATAATTAATTTTGTTTTCATTTTATGAGTCCAAATAACATATTATAGATATTTTAAGAGCACAGAAGAACTCCAGAAAGTGACTTCTAAAGGTTCTTTTCAAAAATTGTATATTTTCAGACTAGCTTATTGGTTTTGATCAATTAAAATCTCACTTTAGTATGTCAAAGTTATTTTAAACTTTTTCACTGAATTATAACATAGGTACACAAGAATATATAACCATAAGTGAACAGTTCATTCATTTGTCACAAAGTAAATTTACCAACGTAACAAACTTAGAAGTCAAGAAATAGAACATGATGAGGAATAGTGTCAGCCTTTGTGTTCCCGCCCAGTGCAAATCAAAATTATCTTCTTACTTCTGACACCTTAGAATGGTTTTATACTTTTTAAAGTTTATATAAGTGAAATTGTACAATAAATGTTCTTTTTTTGTTAAGCTTGTTTACTTTAACATTATGTTTGTGATTTACTCTATGTAGTTGCATGCAGCAGTTCATTATTTTCACTGGTATGTAATATGCCATTGTATAAGTATCTCCACTTTATCCATTTATGTAACTTATTCATCTACTTATTTAACTTTTGATAGATATTGGACTTTTTATAAATAATGCTGCTATTAGAATTTCACTTTGTGTTTTATACTTCTGTGCACCAGCAAGCTGAATTGCTGAGTTAGCACAAATTTATTTAATTATACTAGATGCTACCAAACAGCTTCCCAAAAGAATTAAACATAGCTTAACTTCCAAAGCATCTAGGAATTTCTCCATTATACAATCTTCCCATTGCTCAGTATTAACAATACAGTTATATAGGATGTATGATCGCTCATTATGATTTTCATTAGCCTTGCCTAATAAGTATGAAGCTGAGAAACTTGATGTTTCTATTGTCTTTTTGATATGTTCACCTGTGAAGTGCCTGTTCAAGATTCTTGCCCTTTTTTCTATTGAAATGTGTCTTTTTTCTATTTTAAAGTCTTCTTAATATAATTCAGATAAGTGTTCACTTTTGGGTTCTAGAGCTCTGTATGTCTTCTCTAACCCTGTGCCTTACCACTTTCTTGTGTCTATAGTGAAATAAAATTCATTTTAATATAACTCAATGTGCCAACATTTTTCATAAATTATAGTTATAGCTTTTTGTATTTAAGAAATATTTGTCTATCCTAAGAAAAGAAAGGCATTTTTTATGTTATTTTGAAGCCTCATTTTTATATTTAGATCTACAATGCATGGGAAATAACTGTTTTGAGGAAGGGGTCAGATTTATTTCAACATGTATATCCAACTTACCAGTCACAAGATATTAAAAGGAAGGTCCTTTCTCAATTTCTCTTCAGTTACACTTTTTAAATAAACCAACTATCTATATTATTATGGGTAAGTTCATGGACTCCATCCAATTTTGCATGTCTCTATTTTCATGAAAAGTATTTGCCTGTATTTCCTTTAGTAGTTTTCCGTAGGTTTTGTTATCAAGATTTCTATGGAGAGGCTGGAGCAAGATGACAAAATAGAATCCTATACTATTCATACCTCCCTACAGGAACATCAAATTTTAACAACTATCTGCACACAGAAAAACACCATCACAAAAACCAAAAATCAGGTGAACAAGTACAGTACATGCTTTTTACCTCATTTTATTGAAAGAGGTATTGAGGAGGGTTAGAGAGTCGTCTTGAATCTCTTATGCCACCCCTCCTACATTATTCACTGGCAGTGTCCCTGCAGAGCAAAGAGTCTACGCATTTGGGGGAGAAAGAACAAAGTGACTAGAGGATATTACATTGAACTCAGTGTTGCCCTGTCATAGCAGAGAGTAAAGCCATGCTGGGCTCAACCAGTGCTCCTGCACAAAGGGAGCATTTGGACCAGACCTAGCCAGAGGGGAATTACCCTTCCCATCATCTAAAATTTAAGTTTCTTAGAAAGTCTCCCCACCATGGGGCAAAGTGCTCTGAGGTTGGGGTTCTATGTAAACTTGAAAGGCAGTTTAGGATACAAAGACTGCAATTCCTAAGCAATTCCTAGTGCTGGGCTTGGCTCAGAGCCAAAGGACTACGTTAGCATGTGACTAGGGAGACACTAGCTGGCGCAGCTAAAGAAGGGCTTGAGCCATCCCTCCCACAATCCCAGGCAGTGCGGCTAGCAGCAATGAAAGTGTCTCCTTTCTTCTCTTAAGGGACTGAGAACAAAGAGTAAAGGCGACTTTGTCTTGCATCTTGGATACCTGCTCAGCGACAGTAGGGTAGGGCACTGAGCAGAGTCACAAGGCCCCCATTCTAGGTCCTGGCTCCCAGATGACATTTCTAGACCCACCCTGGGCCAAAAGGGAACTGCTGCCTTAAAGAAAAGACCCAGTCCTGGCAAGATTCATCACCTGTTGACTAAAGAGCGCTTGGGACCCTAATAACCAGCGGTGATGCCCAAGTAGTATGTGATGGGCCTGGGGCTCTGAGACATGTTGACTGCAGTCATAACCCAGCACATTCCCTGCTATGTTGGTTGTGGTGAAAGACTTACTTGAGAAAGCAGAGGGAAAAGTAAAGGGGACTTTGTCTTACACCTTAGGTACCAGCTCAGCTACAGTGGAGTAGAGCAAAAAGTAGGCTCTTGAGGTCCCCACATTGAGGCCTAGGCTCTTGGACAACATTTCTGGACCTGCCCCGGGCCACAGGGGAGACCATTGCCCTGAAGAAGGAGTCCCAGGCCAGGCAGGATTCACCACAAGCTAACTGAAGAGCCCTTGAGCTTTAAGTGAACATTGGCGATGGACTGGCAGAAACGCCCTGTGGGCTGGTGGTGGTGGTGCCCACAAGGAGAGGCTCCTCTGCCTATAGAAAAGGGAAGGAAGAAGAGGAAGGATTTACTTTTGTAGTTTGAGTGCCAGATTGGCTGCAATAGAATAGAACATTAGGCAAATTTCTAAGGTTTTTGACTCTAAACCCTGGCTCCCAGATAGCATCTCTGGACTTACCCAAGGCCTAGGGGAGCTTGCTGCCCTGAAGGGAAGGAGACAAACCTGGCTGGTTTTACCACCTGCTAATTGTAGAACCCTAGGGCCATGAGTGAACATAGGTGATGGGCAAGTAGCAGTTACAGCAGACTTTGAGCAAGACCCAGTGCTGTGCTGGCTTCTAAAAAGATCCAGCACAGTCTTAGTGGTGGTGGTCGCAGGAGTGCCAGCATCACCACATCCCCAGTTCCAGGCAGCTTGACACAGAGAGAGAGAGAGACTCCATTTGCTTGGGAGAAAGTAAGGGAAAAAAACAAAGGTCTCTGCTTGGTGATCCAGAGAATTCTTCCAGATCATATCTAAGACCACTAAGGCGGTATCACTAAAACTCTGCAAAAAACCACAGTAATATTGAGCTTGGGACACAAGTCCCTTTGAACAAATGGCCTTCTCAAGAAGGACAGGCACAAACAAGCCCAGATGATGAAAACTACAATAAATACATAACTCTTCAATGCCCGGACACTGACAAACATCTATAGATATCAAGATCATCCAGGAAAACATGACCTAACAAAGGAACTAAATAAGACACTGACCAGCCTGATCAACAGGATGTAACCCTGTCTCTACCAGAAAAATACAAAAATTAGCCAGTCGTGGTGGCACGTGCCTGTAATCCCAGCTACTCAGGAGGCTGAGGAAAGAGAATCGCTTAAACCCAGGAGAGGGAAGTTGCAGTGAGCCAAGATCGCACCATCACACTCCAGCCTGGGCGACAGAGTGAGACTCGATCACAAAAAAAAAAAAAAAAAAAAAAAAAAATGGCACTACATAAGGCACCAGGGACCACCTTTGGGGAACAGAGAAATGTGACCTTTCAGACATAGAATTCAAAATAGCTGTTTTGAAGCAACTCAAAGAAATTCAAGGTAACACAGGGAAGAAATTCAGATTTCTACTAAACAAATTTAACAAAGACACCGAAATAATTAAAAAGAATCAGGCAGAAATTCTAGAGTTGAATAATACAATTGACATACAGAAGAATGCATCAATCAGTAGCAAAACTGAGCAGAATAAAGAATTAGTGAGGTTGAAGACAGGCTATTTGAAAATATGCAATAAGAGTAAACAAAAGAAAAAAAGAATAAAAAACAATGAAGCATTCCTACAAGATCTAGAAAAGAGATTCAAAAGGGCAAATCTAGGAGATATTGGCTTTAAAGAGGAGGAAGAGAAAGAAATAAGGGTAGAAAGTTTATTCAAAGAGATAATAACAGAGAATTTCCCAAACTTTGAGAAAGGTATCAACATTCAAGTACAAGGTTATAGAACACCAAAAGGATTTAACCCAAAGAAGACTACCACACAGCATTTACTAATCAAATTCCCAAAGCTCAAATATAAAGAAAGGATCCTAAAAGCAACAGGAGGAAAGATACAAATAAGATACAGTGGAGTTCCAATGTGTCTGACAGCAGAATTTTCAATGGAAACCTTACAGTCCAGGAGGTGGCATGACATAAAGTGCAGAAGAAAAAAACTTTTCACCCTGGAATAATATATTCAGTGAAAATATCCTTCAAGTTAAAGGAGAAATAAACACCTTCCCAGATGAACAAAAACTGAGGGATTTCATCAACACCAGACCTTTCCTAAAAGAAATGCTGAACGGAGTTCATCAATCTGAAAAAAAAGATGTTAATAAGCAATAAGAGATTACCTGAAAGTGCAAAACTTGCTGGTAATAGTGAGCACACAGAAAAATAGAATAATTCAATGCTGTAATTGTGTGTGTAAACTACCCATAAGTAGAAAGACTAACTAATGAAAAAATAAAAATAACTACAACTTTCTAAGACATGGAGAGTACACTAAAACATAAAGAAAAAAACAAAAAGTTAAAAGGCATGAAATTAAAATGTAGAGTTTTTATTGGTTTTCTTTTTGCATGTTTATGCAATCAGTGTTAAATTGTCATAATTTAAAATAGTAGGTTATAAGATAATATTTGCAAGCCTCATGGTAACCTCAAAATGAAAAATATACAATGGATATACAAAAAATTAAAAGCAAGAAATTATATCATACCACCAGGGGAAGTAGCCTTCACTAAAAGGAAGACAGAAAAGAAGAAAGAGAAGACAACAAAATAACAAGAAAACAAGTAACAAAATGGCAAGTTTAAGTATCTACTTATCAATAATAATGTTGAATATCAATGGACTAAACTCTCCAATCAAAAGAAATGAGTAGACAAATGGATTCCTTAAAAATACCCTGTAATCTGTTGCCTACAAGATATACTCTTCACCTATAAAGCCACACATAGACAAAAGATAAAGGGATGGATAAAGATATTCCAAGTTAATGGAAACCAAAAAAGAGCAGGAATAGCTATTCTTATATTAGACAAAATAGATTTCAAGACAAAGGGCTCAATTCAGCAAGAGGAAATAACAGTTTTAAATACATGTGCACCCAACACAGGAGCATCAAGATATACAAAGCAAATATTATTAGAGCTAAAGTGAGAGTTAGGTCCCAATATAATAATAGCTGGAGACTTCAACACCCCACTTTCAGCATTAACTCAGACAGAAAATGAACAAAGAGACATCAGACTTAATCTGCACTGTAGGATGAATGGGACTAACAAATATTTACAGAACATTTCATTCAAAGGCTGCAGAATACACATTCTTTTCCTCTGCACATGGATCATGCTCAAAAACAGACCATATGTTAGTGAGATGGTTAATATTAAGTTTCAACTTAATTTGATTGAAGGATGTAAAGTATTGTTTCTGGGTATATCTGGGTGTTTCTGCGTGTTGTCAGAAGAAATTAACATTTAAGTCAGTGGGCTGGAAGAGAAAGACCCACCCTCAGAAAGACCCACCCACAATATGGGTGGGCACCATCCAATCAGCTGCAAGCCGATCTAGAAATAGCAGACAGAAGAAGGTGGAAGAAGCTGACTTGCTGAGTTTTCCGGTCTTCATCTTTCTCCAGTGCTGGGTGCTTTCTGCCCTCGAACATCATACTCCACGGTCCTTGACTTTTGGACTCTTGGACTTACACTAGTGGTTTGCCAAAGGCTCTCAGGCCTTTGGCCACAGACTGAAGACTGCATTGCTGGCTTTTTCTAATTTTGAGTTCAGGGACTCAGACTGAGCCACTACTGGCTTCCTTGCCCCCCAGCTTGCGGATGGCCTATCATGAGACTTCACCTTGTGATCATGTAGGTTAATTCTTCTTAACAAATTCCCTTTTATATATACACATACCCTATTATTTTGGTCCCTCTAGATAACCCTGACTAACACAGTTAGATATAAAACAAGTCTGAAAGCATGCAGAAAATTAAAATAGTGTCAAGGATCTTCTCTGATCACATTAGAATAAAACTAGAAATCAATAACAAGAGGAATTTTGAAAACTATACAAGCACATGGAAATTAAACAATATACTCCTGAATGACCAGTGAGTCAATGAAGAAATTAAGAAGGAAATTTAAAAATTTCTTGAGACAAATGATAATGAAAACACAATATACGAAATCCAATAGGATACAGCGAAAGCAGTACTAAAGAGAGGGACATTTATGGCTATAAGTGCCTGCATCAAAAAAGAAGAAAAACTTTAAACAATCTTGTGATGTATCTTAAAGAACTAGAAAAGCAAAAGCAAATCAAACCTAAAATTAATAGAATAAAAGAAATAATAAAGATTAGAGCAGAAATAAATCAAATAGAAATGGGAAAAAATACAAAATACATAAATACAAAAGATCAATTAAACAAGAAGTTGTTTTTTGTAAAAGTTAAGCAAAATTGACAAACTTTATGTTAGATTAACTAAGAAATAAAGAGAGAAGATCCAAATAAATAAAATCAGAGATCAAAAAGGAGACTTTACAACTGATACCCCCCCTCCCAAATTCAAAGGATTCTTAGTGGCTTCTATGAGCAAATATACGCTAATAAATTGGAAAACTCTAGAAGAAATAGACAAATTCCTAGACACATATAACCTACCAAGATTGAACCAGGAAGACATCTAAAACCTAACGGCCTAGTAACAAGTAAGGAGATTGAACTCACAATAAAAAGCCTCCAAGTAAAGAAAAGCCTGGAACCCAATGGCTTCACTCTTGAATTTTACCAAACATTTAAATAAGAGATAATAGCAATCCTGCTCATATTTTTACAAAAAGTGGAGGAGGAAGAGACTTTCACACTCATTAAACAGGGCTAGTATTAACCTGATATCAAAACCAGAGAAAATAAACTCAAAATAAGAAAACTGTAGGCCAACATCTTTCAGAAATATTAATTTAAAAAATCCTCAACGAAATACTAGCAGATCAAATTCAAATATCCATTAAAAAGATAATTCATCATGACCAAGTAGGATGTATCCCTGGGATGTGAAGATTGTTCAGTATACACAAATCAATAAATATAATATATCATATCTACAGAATGAAAACAAAGCCATATAATCATTTCAATTGATGCTGTAAAACAATTCAGTAAAATTTACCATCTCTTTGTAATAAAAAAACATCAAAAAAATGGGTATAGTAGAAATATATCTCAACATAATAAAAGGCATAAATAACAGACCTACAGCTAATATCATACTGAATGGGGAAAATGTGAAATCTTTTCTGTAAGATCTGGAACACTACAAGGATGCCCAATTTCACCACTGTTATTCAACATAGTACTGGAAGTCCTAGCTGGAACAATCAGACAAGAGAAAAAAATAAAGGACATTCACATTGGAAAGGAAGAAGTCAAATTACCTTTTTGCAGATGATATGATCTTGTATTTGGAAAAACCTAGACTTCACCAAAAAAAGCTTAGAACTGATACACAAATTCAGTAAAGTTGTACGATATAAAATCAACAAACAAAATTAGTAGCATTTCTATATGCCAACAGTGAACAATCTGAAACAGAAATTTAAAAAGTAATTCCATTTATAAAAGCCACAAATAAAATTAAATACCTACGAATTAACTTAACCAAAGAAATGATAGATCTCTATAATGAAAACTATAAAACACTGTTGAAAGAAATTGGAAAGAACAAATGTTCATGGAGTGAAAGAATCAATGTTGTTAAAATGCCCATACTACCCAAAGAAATTTATAGTTTCAATTCAATCCATATCAAAATACTAATGACATTCTTCACAGAAATTTTTTTAAAAATCCTAAAATTTATGTGGAACCATGAAAGACCCAGAATAGCCAACGTCACCCTGAGCAAAAGGAGTAAAACTGGAGGAATCACATTACCTGGCTTCAAATTATGCTACAGAGCTATAGTCTGTACTATAGTCTGCAAATGAGCATGGTACCGGCATAAGAACAAATACAAAAACCAAGGAAAGAGGATACAGAATACAGAAACAAATCCATCAACCTATAGTGAACTCATTTTTTATATAGGTGCCAATGACATGCATTGGAGAAAAGACAGTCTCCACAACAAATGGTGTTGGGAGAACTGAACATCCATATGCAGAAGAATGAAACTCAATTTCTGTCTCTCACCATATACAAAATTCAAGTCAAAATGATTTAAAGAATTAAATCTAAGACATAAACTATAAAACTGCTACAAGAAAACATTAGGGAAACTCTCTAGTAGATTGATCTGGGCAAAAATTTCTTGAGTAATACCCCACAAACACTGGTAACAAGAGCAAAAACTGACACACAGGATTACATCAAGTTAAAAACCTTCTGCACTGAAAAGGAAACAATCAACAAAATGAGGAGACAACCCATAGAATGGGAAAAAATATTTGCAAACTACCCATCTGACAAGAAATTAATAACCAGAATATGTAAGGATCTCAAATAACTATATAGAAAAAAATCTAATAATTATGGGACAAAAAGTTGAATAAACATTTCTCAAAAGAAGACAAAAAAATGGCAAGTGGGCATATGAAAATGTGGTCAACACCATTGATCATTAGAACAATGAAAATCAAAACTACTGTAAAATATCATTTCACCCCAGTGAAAATGGTTTATTCAAAAGATGGGCAATAATCATTGCTGGAGAGGATGTGGAGAAAAGCTTACCCTCAGCCTTTATTGGAGGGAATTTAAATTAGTACAACTACTACGAAAAACAGTTTGGAACTTCCCCCAAAAAATAAAAATAGAACTACCATATGATCCACAACCCCACTTATTGGTATATACCCAAAAGAATGGAAATTCATTTACGGAAAAGATATATGTGCTTTCATGTTTGTTACAGCACTGTTCACAGTAGCCAAGATTTGGAAGCAATCTAAGTGTTCATCAACAGATGACTGGATAAAGAAAATGTGGTACTTATGCACAATGTAATACTTATTCAGCATAAAAAAATGAGTTCCTGTTATTTGCAACAATATTGATGGAACTGGTGGTCATTATGTTAAGTGAAACAGACTCTACACAGAAGGACAAACATTACATGTTGTCACTTATTTGTGGCATGTACATATAAAAACAATTGAACACATGAAGACAGAGAATAGAGAAGGGTTACAGAGGTTGGTAAGTTTAGTTGGATGGGGGGTGATGATTAA
Source organism: Homo sapiens (assembly GCF_000001405.40). Taxonomy (NCBI): domain Eukaryota; kingdom Metazoa; phylum Chordata; class Mammalia; order Primates; family Hominidae; genus Homo; species Homo sapiens. Next base: position 62,912,375 of record NC_000006.12, read on the forward strand.
TGGGTACAAATAATAGTTTGTGAGAATGAATAATACCTAGCATTTGACAGCACAACAGGGAAACTATAGTAAAAATAATTGTACATTTTGAAATAACTAAAAGTATAATTGGATGATTTGTAACACAAAGGATAAATGCTTGAAGGAATAGATATTCCACTTTCTATGATGTGATTATTACACATTGCGTACCTGTATCAGAATAACTCATGTACCCTATAAATATATACACCTATTATGTACCTACAAAAATTAAAAATAAAAAAATGTAAAATAAACAAAAGAAAAAAGACTTCTGTGGGCTTATAAAATGAGCTGGGAAGTGTTCTCTCTTTTTCTAATATCAAGAAAAGTGTGTTGTGTGTGTGTGTGTGTGTGTGTTTATATACACATATAAATTTACATGTTTGTGTCTACATGTATGTGTGTATGTGTATATATGTGTATATATATACACACAAAAAATAGCATACATATATATATGTATAACATGCATATATATGTATGTTATTTTTTCCTAAGTTTTTGGAAGAATTAATCAGTAGAGACAAATAGAACAAGAGTGCTCTTCATGAAAAGGTTTTAAATTATACGTTGTTTCTTTAATAAATGCAGGCAATTATTTAGATATTCCATTTTTTCTTAATAAATTATATTTCTTACATAGTTTCATCCAGGACATTCTTATTTTATATTTTTGCCATAATATTGCTCACTGGTATTTAAAAGTTTGTCAAAACTTGTGAAAAATTAAACATCAGTATGTTTAGAATTAAAGTTATCATTTTCATTCTACATATTGATTAATTTTGCCTTTTCTCCTTTTTATCACAAAATTGAAAAAGTCCTGGTCAATTTTGTTGTTTTTTAAAATAAATACATACTCAGATTGACTTATTTTGTTTGATTAATTTCATTAATTTTAGCTACTATTTTACCACTTTCTTTTCATAATAGACCAAAATTGTGTATATTTATCATGAACAACATGATGTTTGAAAGATCTATACATTGTAGAATGGCTAAATTGAGATAATT